>NC_000003.12:173099513-173251028 GCF_000001405.40 Homo sapiens
CGTACTATTATATTGTTTATATTTATTAACTTAAAAGATGAACAACAGTTGCCCATTTGGAGGGAAATTTTGTGGTTGGAGAATAGGGATAGAAAGGAGCCATTACTCTATACAATTTTCTACCTCGAATTTTGAACTGTGTAAATAT
Source organism: Homo sapiens (assembly GCF_000001405.40). Lineage (NCBI taxonomy): Eukaryota > Metazoa > Chordata > Mammalia > Primates > Hominidae > Homo > Homo sapiens. The sequence goes on from NC_000003.12 coordinate 173,099,662, forward strand.
ATTACCTATTCAAAAAATGAAAGAGTAATTTAAAATGGATAAAACAAAAGCAACAAGTGGCACAGCACATCTCCTTGTGATAGTCATGTTGTGTGGGGGTGAGCTGATGATTGACCCGAGAATCCCACTGTGCTTTTTCCTGTCGTCAGCATGCGCTTATGGAGAGGTCAAAATTCCATCACAGGCACCTACGCCCCTCTCTAGCTTCAGCTAAGCCTCTGGGATTCATTTTAATCTTTTCATATTTCTCCTTCACAGCCTAAATTAACTAGTGGCAGTGGGCAGCAACTGTGTGATTCCCTAAATGGAAGTCCCCACATAGAAGTTGGTGTTCTCTGAATGCTTCTTTGAAGAACTGTGCCTCAATTAATCAGCCCACAAACAGCAGTCTGGGACCTGTTTTAGAATGCACTCCCAGTGTTCATGCCACTAAAGCTGAGAGAAATATACAATAACTCAGTTTTAAAGTATCTGTGAGGATACCTCTCTATGGGAGCCAGAAATGCTGAGCAGGCCCCTTAGTGTCAGCAGTGGTCTCCTGTTGCCTCAAATATCACAGCACAATATTTCAATGACTTCTTTTGCTTAAGTGGATACTTGATTGCTGTTTTCATAACCCAAATAAGTAATAGGATATTCAGTTCATTTATAATTTGAGGCTAGTATTAGGGCTGAGCTACTTTAAACCAGCTTGGGTATATTTTTTTTGGTCCATTGCTGAATGAAATTTTAAAGTTATAAAATAATTGAAATAAAAACAAAAAAAACCAGCTGGTGTGAAGCTACCAGCTTTCAACACTGACACACTATAAAGGCATCAGAAAGTGTGAATATTGTTTCATTAGTTTTCACTTTTCATCGTTCTGCTTGGCATTTTAAAATATTTATTTGTGTGTTTAAAACTGAACATGCCAACAAATAATTATCATCCTTATCTCAAAGCCAGTTCTAGGAAACATCCAAAATAGAGTGTATTAAAAGCACAGATCACATAAACAGCACACACACACACACACACACACACACACACACACACACACACACACAGAGTAAATTCTTGTTTATCAATTTTTACAATTAATTTTAAAAACACAAGGTAAATAAGGGTAGCTACTCCATTAAAAAGATGTGCTTACCATTATATGTACTGGTATGTTTCCTCTGAAGTGGTCATAAACAATTACTTAGTAATGTTTCAAATATCAACAACAAGAGAAAAATTCAATAAATATAAATGAACATGTCAAAATATACAAACAACCTTGCTAACTTTAAAGGTGTATTACAAAAGCAATTTATCTTCATAGCAGTTTACATAATTCTAATAAACCTCACAGGTTTTCTATTAGTGCTGCATGTACATAGGAAAAATGATGCAGGAGAGGTGTGAGTAACTAAAGGAAGAAAATTACCCTTACACTTTACTGGGTATGAAAGACTCCTTTCTTTTTTTCCTTCAGGCTAGGGCTTGCTGAGCTTTGAAGAAGACTTCCAGTGCAAGTGGATTACATATTGACCTCACCTGGCCTAGATCATTGACCAATTGGAATGGTAGGGGGGATAATACTTGCTGCCCCAAGCATGTTTCACCCCCTCTTTGAATGAGACACTCCAAAAGCCTCATTCCAATTGTGCTGGAAATCTCTCCTCTCACTGCTGCTCACTGTCATGTACAGGGCAATGTAAACAAATTACTCCATACCCTAATCAAAGGTTTGAATATTCTCTCCACCGTTTTCAACTTAAGCTGGTTTCTCAAAGGAGCCCACATCCCCTACAGTCTCTGTCACATGGAGGTTTTTGTCTTTCCTGTCCCTCAGTACAATATTACAGAACACTATGTCATCTATATATTCTACTGTTGCTAACCCTGTCACCTACCAGACTTCCAATTATTTTCCCTCATTTACTAAGACTTGACACCTGGATTATCGTCATCTTTGCTCTTTGTCCTGACATCATCTGAGTGAGTTCAGATATCTGGCTGTGAATGAATCTTCTAACATCCTGGCCTTTCACATTTTTATCTCCTCAACTCCCCTCTAGCTTAGCAACCCAATCCCATGAAATTGCTTAACCTCTCAAAACCTATACTCTAGATCCAAGAGTATTACTCCTGGACCAAACCTCTATGCCTTTCATCTCTTTTACTCCCATATCCTCCAACATCTGTCCTTTCATCTTTAGTCCCTGAACCACTATGCATTCTCTTCACTGGACGCTTTCTTCTGTCCTCTCCTACCCAGCCCAGACCCACAATCCACCATTGTAACCACCCTGTCATCATTAATCACAATTAATGGTTCTCCCTTCTCATTCTTCTCATCAAAACCTCAAGTCTGAGTCAATAAAAACTTTTGGATTCTCAGAGAGACATTAGACAAAATCATATAACTGCAGTTTATTTTCATGTAGATTCATGATCCCTTTCCTTAGAGAGGTCCTGAACCCTTCCCCTTATTCCTACTCACCTCCTATATAATTTCTCTCTGTAGTCTGTCTAATCTTGGGTTTCAAGTCTCAAATTCCTCATTTGCTTTCAATTCAATTAAAATACATTTAAGCTAAGAATTTTCTCAACTTATTTTCTACCCAAAGAACTCTTCCTATCTCAATGGTACAGGTTCTTATATGTTCAAATATTATTGTGTTAGGTCATTCTTGCATTGTTATAAAGAAATACCCAAGGGTGGGTAATTTATAAAGAAAAGACATTTAATTGGCTTATGGTTCTACAGGCTTTACAGGGAGCATGATGCTGGTATCTGCTTCTGGTGAGGCCTCAGGGTGCTCTTACTTATGGTGGAAGGCTAAGCAGGAGCAAGTATGTCACATGGCAAGAGCCAGAGCAGTTGGTGGGGGAAACACGGGTAGGGGAAGGTGTCACAAACTTTTAAACAACGAGATCTCATGAGAACTCACTCACTATTGTGTGGACAGCACCAATCCTTGAGGGATCCACTTCCAGTACCCAAACACCTCCCCCCAGGCCCCACTTCCAACTTTAGGGATTACATCTCAACATGAGATTTGGAGGAGACAGCCAAATTGTGTCATTCCACCTCTGCCCCCACAAATCTCATGTCCTTATCACATTAAAGAAACATAATAATGTCTTCCCAATAATCCCTCAAAGTCTTAACTCATTTCAGAATTAAGTCAGAAGTCCCAAGTCCCAAGTCAAAAGTCAAAAATCTCATTTGGGAATGAGTTCCTTCCAATATGAGCCTGTAAAATATAAACAAGTTATTTACTCCCAAGATACAATGGAGGTACAGACACTGGGTAAGTATCTCAAATAAAAGGGAGAAATCAGCCAGAAGAAAAGGGCTATATGCCCCATGCATGTCTGAAACCCAGAAGGAAGTAACTAAATCTTAAAGCTCTAAAATAATCTCCGTTGCCTCCATGTCTCACAACCATGGCAATCCCAATATAAGGGGTGGGCTCCCAGGGCCTTAGGAAGCTCTATGCCTGGGGCTTTGCAGGGTTAGGCCCCTGTGGCTGCTCTCATGGATTACAGTTGAGTGCATGATGCTTTTCCATGTGTCAGGCACAAGCTGCTGGCGGTGCTATTGTTCTGGGGTCTAGAAGGTGGTGGCCCCCTTTCCATAGCTCCACTAGGCAGTGACCCAGTAGGAACTCTGTGTGGGGGGTCCAACCCCACATTTCCCCTCTGCACTGCCCTAGCAGAGCATCTCTGTGGGGGCTCTGTCCCTGCAGCAGACTTCTGCCTGGACACCCAGGCTTTTCCATACATCTTCTGAAATCTGGGCAGAGGCTGCCAAACTTTCTTCACTCTTGCACTCTGCACACCTACAGGCTTAACACCATGTCAAAACCACCAAGGCTTATGGCTCCAACCCTCTGAAGTGGCAGCCCAAGCTGTACCTGAGGGCTTTTGAGCCGCAGCTGGAGCTGGAATGGCCTGGATGCAGGGAAAAGTGTCCTGAGGCTGTGCAGGGCAGTGGGGCACTGGCTCTAGGACATGAAACCATTATTTCCTCCAGGGCCTCAAGGCCTGTGATAGGAGGGGCTGCTACAAAGATCTCTGATAAGTTTTTGAGGCCTTTCCCCCATTTTCTTGGCTATCAGCACCTAGCTACATTTTAGTCATGCAAATCTTTCTAACAAGTGGTTGCTCTGCAGCCTGCTTGAATTCCTTTCCTGACAATGCTTTTTCTTTCTCTGCCACATGGCCAAGCTGCAAATTTTTCACTTTTATACTCTGCTTCCCTTCTAAATATAGAGTGCAACTTTAAGTCATTTATCTGCTCCTGCATCTGACTACAGGCTGTTAGAAGCAGCCAGGCCTTATCTTGAATGCTTTGCTGCTTAGAAATTTCTTCTGCTAGATAGTCTAGGTCATCACTCTTAAGTTCAAACTTCCACAGATATGCAGCCAAATTCTTTGCTAAGGCATAACAAGGGTGACCTTTGCACCAATTCCCAAAAAGTTCCTCATTTCCATCTGAGACTTCATCAGGCTGGACTTCACTGTCCATATCACTATTAACATTTTGGTTACAATTATTTAACCAGTTTCTAAGAAGTTCCAAAGTTTCCCTCATCTTCCTTTCTTCTTCTGAGCCCTCCCAAACTCTTTAAACCTCTGCTCATTACCCGGTTCCAAAGTCGCTTCCACAATTTTAGTTATCTTTATAGCAGTGCCCGACTCCTCAGTACCAGTTTCTGTGTTAGGCCATTCTTGCATTGCCATAAAGAAATACATAAGTTTGGGTAATTTATAAAAGAAAAAAAGGTTTAGTTGGCTTACAGTTCTACAGGATTTACAGGAAATATGGTGCTGGAATCTACTTCTGGTGAGGTCTCAGGTTGCTTTTAATCATGATGGAAAGTGAAGCAGGAACAGACACATCACATGGTGAGTGCAGGAGCAAGTCAGGGGGAGGTGCTACAAATTTTTAAATAACCAGATCTCTTGAGAAATCACTCTCTTGAGGACAACACCAAGCCATGACCCAAACACCTCCCACCAGTTCCCAACTCTAGCACAGAGGATTACATCTCTGCATGAGATTTGGAGGGGACATCCAAGCTATATAATTTATCTTTCCATCTGTCTCCAGACCCCCATCCTTTTAAACATTCTTAGAGATTTCACCCTGTCAATCATATTTTTCTTGACTTATTCCCTCTCTCTATGGACTCTTTCAATATAATAATGGCCAGGGTTCATATTCTGAAAGAATTTGAAAATCAGCCCATCATTTTGCATTTCCCTTAGGCTACTGTTCCATTTCTATTTTCCTTTTAAAGGAATTCTATGAGTCATGCTGTCCACTTCTTTTTCCAAACTTAATTTTGCTTCTGGAAGTTGGCTTTGTTCAGAAAGGCTGTGCCCTGCAAGACCAGTTTTCCCTGGATTACAAACAATAAAGTCAGCTTTTAATTTCAGATGGTGGTCTATTCTTTTAACATGAGTCGTTGAAACTACATCATATGCTCTACTATATAATGAGTGCAAAGACTAATTGTGCCAATACATAAAATTTTGCAGTAAAAATTATGCTTGCTAAGTTTTAGTTGGCATCCTGAACACATAGTTAACATAGTCCAACTTTTCAGGTCAAAACTATTTCATCCCTGGGCTTGTTAAACTAGAGGGTGTTCAGACCCATTCTTGAGAAAGGAGGCTTCCTGGTTGGGTTGCAGTGATAACCATTAAAATTGTTCTCGCCAAAGACCCTTGACAGTCAAACAGGTTATTCTTTACTCTTACTGCTACTTCTAGAAACTCTGTAACTAGCAATTTCCTCAAAACCTCGAGTCCATGAGGAGTAACGTATTACAGTTTTCTCTCAATTAATTTCTTAGTCTCAGAGATAGTCCTTTCTGAATTATTCACACTTCTCCAAAATTCTTTCCTCATCCTTATTTTCCTTTTACAGTTCAGGTGGCTTCAGGTACTGATGACCCTTCAATGTCTGTCTTTGGTCATGAACTTTCCCCTGTGCTTCCGGCATGTTTCCAGCTAACAAATGTGCTGCTCCAACTGGGCTTGCCAGCAGCCTTCACATGCAATATATCCAAAGTTGCATTCACTAACTCTGCAAATTTTCCTTCCTCCCTCCCTCTTTTCCTCCCTCCCTCCCTGTCTTCATCCCTCCCTCTCTCCCTTCCTCCCTTCCTTCCTTCCTTCCTTCTTTCCTTTCTCTCTCTCTTTTCCTCTGTGTTTATATTTCTATTTATAGATAGATAGAGATATATCTGGATACGTAACAAAGTTTTTACAAAGTAAAACTTACCTTCCAATGTTCAATGAACTCTGATTTTTTATTGTATTGAATTTTTATTCTATTCCATTCCTTTCTATGATTTCAATTAAACATAATGCTGATTGCAATCCATTAAATTGATTTTACAACCCAGCAATAGGTAATAACACAGAGACTGAATACTATATTTTCTCTATATATACACTGGAGTGATAAAGCAAAATTAAAAATTAGACTTCATCATTCCCCATGTTGATCCTTTCTGAAGGCGTTTTGTTGCCTGCTGCATAAAATCTCAGAAGGCATGCATGGCCCCTGACAACCTGCCAGCTTCTTCAGCTTTATTTCTCCCTATTTGTTCTTCCCTGCATTTACTACCCTAGGAACACCCAATTCCTTCCTATTTTACCTTGGTGTTTTCTCTTTATATTCTCTCATACCTTTACCCCTCTAGCTGTTTTCCCCTAAAATCAACACGTGGATTATGGCAAATAAAATGTCTACTATATTTTAGCTGTAACTAAAGAATAAATAAGGAGCTATGATTGTGGGGTTGAAATCCAATGCTTCCCTGTAGCTCCTGTAGTAACCAGCACAATGTTGCTAATGTAGTAACTACTCAATAAATATTTTTTATGTCCTTTGCTGATTCCCAGTGGATCCATTTGTCATAACTTTCCTGCCCAAGAACTCACCTATTGCCTTCAACACCAATTCCAATGTCCTCTTCCTGGTTTAGATCCTCCAGAATCTCACTCTATCTATCCACCCTTATTTTATGATAATGTCTTTCTCTGGCTTGCTCATCACTTTGCTGCCCTTCTGTTTTATCCTTCTTTCACCAAGTTCACCATCCTTCTAGTAATGTTTCACACATCATACTCATCTTCCTTCCCCTCTCCCTCCCTACTTTTCCATTTAGCTATTTATGTTTCGAGGTTCATTCCAAAATCCTATCTTTTCCATTGGTACTTCATATATTTTAATCTATGTATCTTTAATAAGGATAATAAGAGTTTCCAACCCACTGGTTGGTTGTGAGAATTAGATAGGTTAATATAGATAAAGTGCCTGCCACACAGTTTGTGTTCATATTGTGTATATCATAGACTCCATTGAACTTTCTCATGCTAAGCCTTTGTTCTGTACAGCCATTGCCCATCACTGAACACTTAATAGATTTCTAATTGTCTTACCATTATAAGACTTCTTTCTAAAACCTGACTCAAATTCCTTGAAAACCAAAGCCCTGTCATATCACATCCTCTTACCCCAATGTCACTCTTACAGTGACATTGTAGTGACTTAATAAACTGTGGTTGATTTCTTGGTGTAATTTGCTCTGTAAAATCAATGATCAATATTCATAGGTGAATATCATCACTATCATCATCATCCACCCAAACAACACTCTAGAAGATATTTATTTATAGATATGTAATATATTTTAGTAGTGGCATTCAAGTATATATGAATCCAGTGTTCTAGGTATTCATAACAATTCCTACAAAACAAGGGAACCACACTGAGTGTGATGAAAATCTCTCTCTCTCTATTTTTTTTTTTTTTTACTCCCTAAGTAGCTACATCCTATTCTCTGATAGAAACAGAATCATCTCTTAGGCGGAAACAAAGTCTTCTCTATTTTAGTGAATGTCAAATGAGGCAAAAGAAGAGTTACATAATTTAGTAGAAGTTGAAACTAAATTTTCCTTTAATATTTTTCTAGATAACCTGAATTGAAAAAGCAATTGCAACTTCACTCTGCATTACATTTTTGTGAACACATTAAAGTGGATCTCATCTACTCACTATTTCAGAGTCTGTTTAACTATGAAGTTGTATGTGTAGGAAGGCTGGAATGGGGTCCGTAACAGAGGAAAGAGACGGAATTGCTGTTTTTAAGTCTATTTGGTTTCAGTAGACTTACACACATTTGGAAAGTTGGATAGTGGAAGAAATGTTTTGCAACATGATCCGATACTTAAGTCAGAATCATCTGACTTAAATTTTTCTGGGTGTCATCCCTAAACAGTCTTCAAACTGATTACAATTTAGGGTTGTGTAAGACTTCATGACAATTGGTTAGGTATTGATTCAGAAGAATGACAGAATTAACTATATTTAAAAATTTCATTAACATTTACTGTCATTTGAATCAAACACATAATGACCACCTGTAAACTATGGAAATAATCCCACTGATGAAAAAGATCTTCCTCAGCTTCCTATGGATTAATTGTTCATTTTTTTCGGTGAAGTTTTCACTTGTGGGATGAATTTAAAGTTTCAGAGACACACACTATCTAACCACTGGCCCAAGTTCAGTATCAATCTATTTTTTAGTATTAATAGAAAAGTAGTCATTAAGTAAGTTAATTTGTTTTTTAAATGAATATGAGATTATGTTCAGTATAAATTTTCAGAGTAAATTTTCATGACAATTTACATTTTTATATAATATTTTTAAATAGCTTTGTATATTTATTAATTCTCTTTTAAAAGTCACATATGGGTTAAAACCTATTGTGATTTTAAAAGAGAAGGAAGTGATGAGTATTTTCAATGCTAGTCGTTCTCAATGTTAAGCTGCTCCATAGTCAACCTGGGATTGTAAAAATACCAATGTTCCAGGAATGATCATTGCCTGGACCCCAGATAATTGTACTGGACTCTCTGAGAGTGGGTTTGGGCATCTGTGTATATCTAATAGCTCCCCAGGTGATTGTAATTATAAAGTCATATGCTGCATAACGATGTTTTGGTCAATGACAGACTGTATATATGACAGTAGTCCCATCAGATTATAATGGAGCAGCCCTATACAGGTGTACCATTTTTTATTTTTCATACCTTATTTTCACTATATCTTTTCTATGATTAGATACACAAATACTATTGTGTTACAATTGCCTACAGCACTCAGTACAATAACATGCTTCATAGCCTAGAAGCAGTAGGCTCTACCGTATAGCCTAGGTGTGTAGTTGACTATGCCATCTACGCTAGTGTAAGTGCAGTCTATTGTGTTTGCACAATGACAAAATTGCCTAATGACACATTTCTCAGAATGTATCTCTATTGTTAGCTACGCATGACTGTATTAAGAACCTACGATGTTCATAATCTTTTTTTATGGAATGTGATTCTCTTTTCATTTGTAAAGTGATACAAATTATAGTGTAGGCTTATTTATTGAAAATTCTCCTACTAAACCCCTCTTCCATACTCTACTACCATCTAAGTAATGGGAAAACTCTGTTCTCCCCGAGATGGTCAATGCCTACCTCCCGACCCTCATTTGGCCCCCTCTTCCACCCTTCCTGTCCTTTTGATTCTCTCCAAATCCCTCTTCACAACTTCTCCCATGTTATGGGGGCTGCATACAAATAGGAACTGTGGCTCTTCCCCTGCTGTGTCAATGGCTGCTTTTGTGTGGGAAAGGGAGGGGGACTTAGCATGAGTCAGATGAGTCAGACGGTGGGTGTGCAGCACAGCCACGACCATGTGGATAAAAAGCCTCAATAGTAAGGAAGAGTGGCCCATCAAAATGAGTAATTGCCTCAGATATATCTCCTATTTCTCATCCCTTTTTAATAATACTAAGCCTGAAAAATATTTTGTTCCTTTAATCAATAATCAACTCTCATCTATGTATCTTAAATCTTCTAATTTGTTTTTTATTCCATCGGGGTTGGGATGATAACCATTGAAGGTAAATAAATTACACTAAAATATGTTGGATATCTTTCTAAACGTCAACTTAAAGATCACATTTCAGAAAAAAATCTTTTAAAATATAAACAATAACACACTAAACAAAAAATAAAAATACATTACCCTAAAATGTAAATGAAGTCTTGGAATTCAGGCAAGCAAGACCCAATTCCTTGTCTCTACACTTTGGATCCTTGAGGGCAGAAACTGTATTTTATTTATATTTGTATTTCCAGCATCTAGCATTATGCCAGGTTAAAATAGCTGGTAAATGCTAGTGGTATTAACACACTTTTTTCTTATAATGGCAAATTTTAATTTTCTAGAGATTTGTATTATTTAATCAGTGTTTAATTATTATAAAGTATAATTAAACACACTGATTATAAAAATGTATGTAATAATACTTTTATCTTATTTTTTGGGGTTAAAAGGGAAATTCATTTCGTATTTTCCTGTATGTTTGCTAGCATTTTCCAAATTTTTTAAAATCATTAAATACTTATTAGTTATGGTGTCCCTGTATGGAACAACGACAACAACAATCAAGTTAAAATCTGAAATGTCTAATCTTGAACATGAAGAGTTCACAGTCAGTTTATACTTGACAACTAAGAAACAATGGGCTATCTCTAGAATAACAATTTGTGCATTTAAGTGAAGGCTTATATTTGTGCGAGAGGCAGTTAGTAGTTCAAAATAGTGTTTGGTTTAGATCACTGCTTCTCAAGGGAAGATAAAGTAGAACACGATGCATTACTTTGTCCCTTGCTTTGGTTAAATTTTAAATATAATTAAAAGAAGACTAGAAATTGTTAATGTTAATCAAAGAGTTTGGGCTATGGATGTTAAACAATGTTGGTAAACACATAGTTGGGCAAAATCCTTTGGAATGTTAAGCTTTAAATTAAACACATACCATACAGGGAAGTGAGGTACTTGAGAAGTACAGTGACAACTTGTACATGAATTTAGATTTCATTATGTTTTTCAATAAACAATTCTTGATGTTCTATGTGAAAGCACCTTATTATCTATCATTTCTACTTAATGGCATTCTAAGCGGCTAAGAAAGTTGCTCAAACTCACATAGCATCAGCGCAGCATCAAACACAGATAATCTGACTCCAAATTCAGTGCCCTGTCCATCACAGCTCTGGAGCCCTGCGGCCACTTACGACTACGTGAGCTACTGCTTACTGCTAATTTACTAGAGGGGCAATGGCAGTCACTTGAGAACCTACTAGTGGTTTGGTATAAATCCTTCTCAGAGTTGTCCCTGGACCAGCATTATGAACATCATTTGGGAACTTATTTGAAATGAGGCATCTGGTGTCCCGCTTCAAACATAATGCATCTGAATCTGCATTTTTAACAAGATTACTATAGAATTTTTATGCACATTACAGTATGAAAAGCAGGAGTGTAAAGAAGTCCAGATGTGAAATCAGGGGACCTGAATTCCATCTCAGCCCTGCCACAGACTAGCCATGACACTTTAAGTAAGTTATTTAATTTTTTTAGAGCATCAGTTTTTCTGCAAAATGGGGTGATAATATCCATCTTAGAGAGGGTTATTGCAATGATTGTATGAGTAAAAGTGCCTAGAACGTGAAACCCTGTCTCTACTAAAAATACAAAAATTAGCCAGGCGTGGTGGCATGCGCCTGTAATCCCAGCTACTCAGGAGGCTGAGGCAGGAGAATCACTTGAACCCAGGAGGCAGAGCTTACAGTGAGCCGAGATCGTACCACTGCACTCCAGCCTGGGTGACAGAGCCAGACTCCATCTCAAATCAAAAAACAACAACAATAACAAAATGCCTGGAACCCAGCAGTAGTTTAAGAAATGCATACTGGATTCATATGCAAATCCACAGATTGCAATGAGACAGCTCAGGCACTCAGAGAATTTGGTGAACCCCCAAATTTCTGATTATGTGGCACCAAAGAAATACCTGTGCTAGAATTTATTTAAATTAAGCTTTCTGAGATATCCACATTTTTGTGCTCTAGAGAGTTGCTACAGAGTTATTCTCAGCAGAGCAATTATAGGTGAGGCTGCCCTATAATGAGATATCTTTTCTACTTCATTAAATAAACCCCCTTGAATGGGCTCCAAAATGGACCTGTCTTATACCAAATTCCATTATCTTGGAAGTAATCTCATAAGAAGGTCCTGGTGTGGGTTCAATCATGTTGGATACCTAACATTTACCATAAAGAATGTGTTCTAGAAGAGTGATTCCCAAAAGCTGGTTCTCAGACCAATGTTTTACCGATCCAAGGGAAAATAAAAAATAAAGACAACATAGCTTTTCATAAAATTGAAATATAACTGTTTTTAAAATATCCTTCATTTTGAGAGTATGACCTCTCTGTTTCTTTTTATCTTTCCTTCTAACTTTTATGGGTAAAACTGCTCCATATTTTATGATTCAATGGTGGTAATAGATGGTAATTTTTGTAATGTTCTTGTACAATACAAATGCAATGCCAACCCACTCTCCCCCTACACACACTTAAAACATTTTTTTATGGATCCTTGAAATGCAAAAATTCTGAACTATTGTTATAGAAACACCTGCTTAAGAAGAAATTCTTTCCTATAAAATCAATGTTGGACATACAACATTTTAAATTATAAAATGTAGGGGCCAAACTTCAAAGTGTTAATTGGAGGGCAAAATCACAGAGCGTAGTGCTCCTCAAACTGCAATGTGCACAAGGACCATCTGGAATTTGTTAAAATGCAGGTTCTGATTCTGCAGGTCTGGCAAGATCTAGAATTTTGTATTTCCAACCAACTCACACTTAGAGTAGCAGAGGCACACTGGTGAGCCCTGAAACCAGATAAGCGGATCCCGACTCCACCACCTCTAGCTTTTGACCCTTGAGCAAGTTACTTAACCTGTCCACCCTTGGTTTTCTCATTAGTAACACAATAATAATAACAGTATTATCTCATTGGCTTGTTGTGAGAATGAAATGGAATAATGAATGTAAATAATCCCAGAATGTAAAATATAGTAGCTGGCACATACAAAGAGCTCCATAAATGTGAGTTATTACTTTAACTTCACACACCAGCGACTGGAGCGCCAAGATATTAAAAAAAGATTAGCACCTCAAGGGGCTGCTGCATGATGAAATCAGAGGAATTGAAAGTTCTGGTTGGTAATGGATGGGTCTTGTTCTGTCTTCTTTGATGGGTTTAATGGGATTGTTTGAAGCTGTGAATCTTAAAGGATACATATAGATTTGTTCTAATTCAGAAGGTGGAAGCCTCTTAATTATTAGGATCCTATGATTAAGATTGAAATGGTGGTGTTGTTTAAGTTGCATGCTATGAAGTTAGAAAAACCTTTGATAATTTCTTTGAGTGTTGTTCCAATAAGTGACAAAAAATATGATTACTGCATCTTCTGTCCTTTATGTATTCCTAATTTATTAATCTTTTCCTACTTTTTGTTGACAGCCAAGCAATTTATTACATAGTAGTATGTATTGCCTAATATGCAAATACAACTATATGAGGCAGTCATATTTTTTTAAATAGAATCCCTACTGTTTTTGTAGTGGGGAAATTGGTATAGCTGTCTTTAAAAAATTGCAGGGAATAGTATCTAGGCATGACAATATAAAATAATATGAATTTGTGTTTTTATCTTCAGCTTACACCTTTTGCCCTTATTGGTTTAGCTTCTGGTGTGAATACAAACATAAGAGCATACGATGACTGTTTTTAACGAAACTTGAGAAAGATTGATGAGGTGGTCATAGAGCTAAGGACCAATTTTACCCACATAACTGGTTCACCTTTATACAGTAAAAAGAAAGCATGCAAAAATAAGTTATTTCATTAAGCATGTTTACATAAATGCCTGCTATGTTACAAAATCCTAAAAGACTAAAGTTGACAGGTTTTTGGAAGTTAAACTGTTGTCTTCTGAATCATTGCATATCATTTGACCTTAATGATTATAAAATGTTATCATAAATTTACCTATCTAGTGACTATGTTATGAAAATAAAAGGAGTTAGTACTTTGTCAAGAACACAAAGGAAACTAACACATAAACAAAACATTCCTAATGGGTTTATTAGATGCATTGGAAATTGTTATGTCACTTAATAAATATTTAAATGCCTCCAGGGCCTTTGCTCCGTTCTTACTTTTCTGTTTCTTTTTTGTGGTCTCACCTTTAACCACAACCAGTCCTCTACACACTCTTACAGCTGACTTTGTACCACATATTTGGCAACCATTCTGAATGCCTCTGCTGGGCGCAGTGGCTCATGCCTGTAATCCCAGCACTTTGGGAGGCCGAGGTGGGTGGATCACCTGATGTCAGGAGTTCAAGACCAGCCTGGTCAATACGGTGAAACCCTGTCTCTACTAAAAATACAAAACTTAGCCAGGCGTGGTGGCAGGTGCCTGTAATCCCAGCTGCTTGGGAGGCTGAGGCAGGAGAATCACTTGAACCTGGGAGGCGGAGGTTGCAGTGAGCTGAGATTGCACCACTGCACTCCAGCCTGGGCAACAGAGCAAGACTCCATCTCAAAAAAAAAAAAAAAAAAAAAGAGTCTCATAACACTTCCCTCATAGCAAGCCTTCTATGGGAGAGATGCTACTTATCCTTCAATACCTATTTTCTCCTTCTTTCTCAGTAACAGAACTTCAGAATGTTAGAGCCATCTGGAATAAAGACCGTATTTCTCAGCCTCCCTTGCAGGTATGTGTGGCCACATGATTAAATTTTGGTTAATGGGAAAAAAATGAAAATGGTGTGCTCGTGGAGACACTGTGTGCCTCTCTTTTTCCTTTTTCTCATTTTTGGCTGGATAGAATGTGTATCTGATGACACCAGCAGGAATGGTTATTTTGGATCATGAAGTCAAGGCCACTTCTTAGGAAAGGAGATATAACCTGGCACCCTGACCATCATACCATATCAGCCCTTGACTACCAACATTTATGTATGAGAGAAATAAACTTCTACCTTCCTTCAGACACTTATTTTGCAGCCAAACCTAACCCTAATGTATCCACACTCAAATACTTGCAGCATCTATCAAGTGTGATCATTATCATTGTGCCTTGGCTTCTGCCGTCCATCCTATCTTATTCAAAGCCATGTTAGGACTTAAGGAAAAGGGAGAGATGCTTTAAATGATATGTGAGAGCACTCAGTATTAATAAAGTTAAATTTAGAAGTTAAATTCGGGAAAAGAAAAGAAAGGCTGAAAAGGCTACAAATCTTTTCTATTCCCAGTAGCTTTGTTTTTTTGAGATATTCTAGCTAAGATTTCAAAGTTAACTCCCTAGATAATTAGACAAAAGCTAGGCCAGATGTCTAAGCTAAGTTTTGGTTTCAAAATAATTATTTTTGTTAATTATCAGTAATTAGTGTCAGCATCCAAAACTTTCCTTAGAACCCTGGGAGAGAGAAGGAGAACAGGAGAGAGAAAAAAAAGAGGTAGCGGGGAAGGAGAGAGAGAGAAACACAAGCATTATGCAGTACAATTATATTTTAGGTTTAACAAAACCTGATTCAAATTTTATAATTTTGAACACAGGGTTTTATGGAAAACTGGGTATTTTGTTTCATTTAATGCAGATGTCTTTTGCTTTTACTTAAACTTAATTTGAAGCTTTTACAGTAGCTAAGAAAAGATGCCTTTCTTTTTTCTTGCCAAAATGATTATTTTTCTTTATCTATAAAATTATACCTTTAACCCTCCCTGCACCAGGAAAATAAATTTCAGCTGAAGATGGCCCTGGCAGAATGGCCTGGTATTCTTTGTAGAGTCTTTCATTAGCATTCTTTTCCTAGACGAAGGCTGCAGAGCTTTAGCTCAAAAGACTGTTCAAAAGAACAGAGGGTTCTTTTGGGGGTTTGTGGATAATATGGATTTTTCCAGCACTTATTAGATAGCTTAGAAGTTTACGTAGTACATCACACTTCCCTTATTTGTGTAGATGACCCTTTATGAGAACAGGAATATTTATAGATGCATCTATTTGTGTGCTACCTAATTACTTCATATCTACTCAGGTCTGTTTTTGTACGTAGCACCTTTTAAAATATTTAGGGACACCATTGTCTGGTATCATCTATTAATAATTCATTATAACTGTAGTCATTTTAACCTGCAAGTAACAATGAAAATAATACTTTACTCTTTACATTGCACCACTTTCACGACAACATCTCACATTTGACTCCTGCTCACTCTCATCACCCATGCTCAATTACTCTTGTGGGCATTTTTTTTTTCTTTTTTTTTTTTGACACAGAGTCTTACTCTGTTGCCCAGCCTGGAATGCAGTGGTGTAATTATAGCACACTGCACTCTCGACCTCTTGGGCTCAAGAGATCCTTTCACCTCAGCCTCCTGTTGTAGCTAGTAGTATAGATGTGTGCCACTATGCCTAGCTAATTTTTACATTTTGTAGAGATAGGGTCTCACTATGTTACCCAGACTGGTCCAGAATTTCTGGCCTCAAGTGATCCTTTCACCTTGGCTTCCCAAAGTGCTGGGACTACAGGTGTGAGTCACCATGCCAGGACTTTATGGCATCTTTATTTAAATGTTTACTGGTTTGTCTTCCTCACCAGGTGGTTAGAGGGAAGGAACCATGTCTTCATTCATTTCTTTTTAAATAGCTCCAGTGCCCAGCAGGCATATATAGTATGCATTGAAATGTTTTTTGTAAGATAGTTTTGTAAAATAAAATACGAAATATGCACTCATCAACAAAGCAAGGCCAATGGTGCATACAGTTTGGTCCTTCTATAGGTACAGTATGTCATGAGCTAGTATAATTTTCCTACTACCTATTTTGTGTTTTAGTAGTGATTCTGAAGTTTATTTTAGTCCATGGCTATTTTTTATGCCAAGGTATTCACAAACTTACCTGTTTACAGATAGGAAGATAATTATTCATAAAGATCACTAGAATGGGGAGAAAAATAAAGTTTGATGGTAAAGTAAAATGGTGTTATTTTGTTTGTAATAAGTATCACGTATAAATTATGAGCACATGCTAAAAAGTAAAGATGGTTATGTTTAATCATGAGGATACTACATATCAAAAGTGGACAATTCATATACTCATTAACTGCCTATTTCTAGAGAATCTATATTCTACCCACCACCATTGTACTAAAACTTTACGGCTTTTATAGGTGGGCAGCTAAGTGATGAAAGCAACTGCATTTTAAAAATATATCACCATTCACTTCAGGGTTTGTAAAAAGCATGAGGTATGCCTTTGGGGTTATTTCTATATATCAAGTGCACACAGGCATATTAATTTGCAGGCATAGCTTATTTATTTGCTTTATGTAAACTGGGAACTGCAAAATCCTAATATCATTACATATCCTCACCTCATGATCACTGCTTATTACAGTATGGCCAGAACCCCTCAATGTAATTGCAACTTTCCATTTCATAGTTTCCTGTCACCAATCTATATTTTCTTTAATCCCATACCTCAAGTGCTGTTCTGAACTGTCCTGCTGCCAAGGCGTATTTCTTTTGTCTATAGCAAGAGCTGGCATCCTTTAAGGCTACCTGAAGCCATTTGTCAATCTGAGGCAGAAAGCTGAAATTATGTACACTCAAAGGGTCTACTATTTCAGCAGCTTGGCATGTTGGCTGACTCCCAGTAGACATGAAGGACTCTACAAACTCATAGCGAACACCCATTTCATCAATGTAGACCAACTTCATTTCCACATCCATTATGTTCTTTAAGGGGATGTGAGGCAGAGGCATGGTGATTAACTGATTGTCAAGTTCTGTTATCTTTGCCTGTTTCTTTCTAGTTGGCTTTTCTTCACCTTCTGCCTTCCGTTTAAAGGCTGCTTTCTCTAAATCATTGCTTTGTTTTTCTTTGATGCCCTTTGTCATTTTTGTTCTTTCAAGTGTGATTTCTACCTGTTTACCTCCACAGTTTTTCTTAATCTCTTGTGACATTTCCAGGATGTTAGGTGGGTGCGCTAAGGTGGACATTTTCTTGCTTGTGTTTATCTTTGGAACAAGCTGATCATGATAGATCCTATTCACTGCATTCTCCAAACTCCTACTGCTTCCTGCATCCATCGATCCTGCCCAAAACTCCTGCAGGGGGGAGAAAAAGGAAAGTAATTAAGGCAATATTTTGAATTCCAGTGGTTTAGACTATAGTCAAATTCATTTTAAACACTATTTCATTCATTATTAGTATTTGTTGCCTTGTAAGTAAAACTGTATTTACATAATCTACTGACTATTTTAATAGAGGAGTGTATGTGTCAGTCTCAAAACTCACCAAGATAAGAATTTGTTGTAAACACATCTAGACATTGTCTTAAAAAATGATCCTCTGTGGCTGAACAACATCGAATGAATACTTTAATGGGGTATCCAAACTCATTGAATAGGAAAATTTTATACATAGCCACTGAGACAAGAAAAGCCAAAGTAAATCTATCTCAATATTAATTTCCTCAGAAAGGCAGGTGGTCTAGAACTCATTACAAAATACACTACTCACCTGAATAATAGACTTGGGAGTCTAAAGAAACCCCAGCTGCTTCCTCTGAAAAGCTTCCAAAAATGTGAGCACAATCTTTCCTAAATTTGTTTCTTTTATTACTAATGAAAATCTCAAGTTTAAAAAGCTCATAGACAACTATTGTTCACAACAGGCTCTAAAGAAGAAGAACATGACCTTCAATCTTACAGAAATGTGAGCCATAGACTTATCTTTAGTCTACTGTATTAGTCTATTTGTAGTAATGGTATCAACAATGTACACTGTATAAAGATGAGGTATTTTTCTAAACATTAATGCTCAAAATATGTAACAGTCTTTTGATTCCAAGATTCTGCATGCTATGTGCTTCTAGATTTGTTTCAAAATATCAAGTGTTCTAAGATATAATAATTATTTAGTATGGTTGATTCCTATCTTTTAGGACTCTTTCTTTTCACCTATCACATTCTATTCTGGAAACAACTTTGTGGAGTAAATAGGAACAGGGACCACATTTTGCAAAGAAACTAAGGGATAGAGGGATTAAGTTGCTTCTCCAAGGTCACATTGGTTGGTCATTAGCAAAACCTACCCATTCAGATTGCTATTACCTTCCTAGGACTGCCACTTGCCAACTCCTAGCCTGAGATACTTCCTCTATAACATGAGGTTCTTTAGTATAGCTAATAGACATAGATTAGACCACAAAGATAGGAGAAAATAACAAGAAAGAAGGGCTGCATATAATAAGATAACAATGAGATAAAAGCTAACACTTGTGCTTCCTTTTATCTTCAAGGTCAGTGTCCGACTCAAGATAAAAATCGTGAGTCACTTCTCAAAACTTATTAATGTTGTTGATTGTCTTCATTTGTTTGTTTGGAAGACAGTAGTTTGCCGAAGAAGACCCTTAAAACCAAACACTGCATATTCTCACTCATAAGTGGGAATTGAACAATGAGAACACATGAACATAGGGAGGGGAACATCACCTACTGGGGCCTGTCGAGGGGGTGTGGGGAAAGGGGAGGGAGAGCATTAGGACAAATACCTAATGCATGCAGGGCTTAAAACCTAGATGACGGGTTGATAGCTGCAGGAAACCACCATGGCACATGTATACCTATGTAACAAACCTGCACGTTCTGCACATGTATCCCAGAACTTAAAGCAAACAAATAAACAAACAAAAAGCATCCTGAACTGTGACCCATTAGATTTTTAAGTAAAGGGAGAACCATAACTGTTCCTATGGCTCTAACCTTTGAAGTACTTTCCCCCTTTGTACCATTGGACACATATGTTGTCAGAAAAGGTTTAAGGTCATACATGGACATACCAAAGGATCTACTGTGATGGTCTTTGTTATCTCATATGAATGACTGAATTCCAATAATTCTAATAATAGCTATCTTGTATATTAATTTGTAAAAGCTAAATCCTAGAATATTTCCCCAATGATTGATAATGACACAGTAGGGTTGTGTTTCTATAGGATAAAACATTTAAGTTTGAAATTTTAACCAGCCTGTGTTGTGTTTAGTATTGAAGATCAGCAGAACTGTGAATCACAGGCCCCACCAACAGCTCCACTTTGGGCAAGACCCTGTTTCCTTTTCCTCTCTTACAAATGTTGCTGGCCAGGCGCGATGGCTCACGCCTGTAAATGTTGCTGGCCAGGCGCGATGGCTTGGCCTTTGGGAGGCCAAGGCAGGTGGATCATCTGAGGTCAAGAGTTCAAAACCAGCCTGACCAACATGGTGCAACCCTATCTGTACTAAAAATACAAAATTAGCCGGATGTGGTGGCACATGCCTGTAGTCCCAATTACTCTGGAGGCTGAGGCAGGAGAATCACTTGAACCCGGGAGGCAGAGGTTGCAGTGCGCCAAGATCGTGTCATTGCACTCCAGCCTAGGCAACAAGAGCGAAACTCCATCTCAAAAAAAAAAAAAAGAGAGAGAAAAAAAGAAAGAAACATTGCTGGCATCCAACATCTTTTGGACTGCTAATGTGGCTACTCATTAGCAAGAGTGGCATGGGGAAACTGTCTTGGCCATCACTTTATTTTTTGTTTGCCCTTGTGCCACATCTACATATGATTTGGATTGAGTAAAAATAAACTTTAGTCCTTCAGTTAAGATCTCTGTTGAATGAACACTCCGGCTATGCATCTATATCGTTAAGTTTCTTTTGGTAGCAGAGAGGCAGCTCTTGTTTAAAGCTCAAAATACCTGATTTTAAGGGTTTCTGGTTCATTTTAATCCACAGTAGGCTGTTAAAAATATAAACAGGCAACATCGGTTTGTGAGCTGTTCCAACATTTTCATGATACCTCCCAGGTATCTTATCTTATTGATACTCTCTCTACTTCAAGCACCAGAGGCTAAAATGTACCAGAATATCTGTAGTTGATTGTCATTAGTAACATTTTTAGCATCTACAGCAGCATTACCTATCTCTGCTGTATTTATTTCACATCTCTTTAACACATATAAATGCATAAAGTTATCTTTATAGCCATTTCTTCTAGAGCATAATTGTTCTCTCTCTCTGCCTCCCTCTCTCCATTTCCCTCCATCCCATGCTCCTTTCCTCTGCCTATTTTCCTCCCAACTCCTCCCACTCCAATTCTCTTCCCAGATGTCCCTCACTCCGAGCCTTTTTCTTTCTGCAAGAAGGAAGGTTTTATTGTTTTAAGAAATAGGATTCTGAGTACTTCTGCATTAGTCTTTAAACTGCTCTATAGAAATCATCATTTTGGTCTTCAGTGCAGTTTTACACAAGAAAAAATAACAGGGGGAAAAATTATATAGGGTGTACATAGAGCACTCAGAGGGAATAAGTATCTAAGCAAATGTTTAGCTTTCAGACATCTGAAAGATCAATTATTCCCAATATATATAAGAAACTAATTCAGGTTCCCTCCCAAATTCAGAATAAATACCTGAATGTCTGAAAGTGTCTTAAATGTGCAGGCTGAAAAAGCATGGCCAAATCCAACCATTATTTTTCAGTGCTGGTTGAAAATCGGATGACTTTATTTCAGCTGTACAGCCTTTTTTTTTTTTTAATAAAAATTGTCACACATGTACAGAAGAGTTATGGAACTGCTGCTTATGGCTTCTTTAAAAATTATAAAACTCTATTTAAATAATCTGGAATTTGAGGCCTTTTACCACCTCGCTCAATGTGTGTTTTCAGCCTTATTTAGCACTTCTCCTATAAACTACTCTGAAGTCAAGCTGAACATCTTGTTTATTCCAAAAGATGTTCATTTTCAGTCTGTCAACTAAGAATTCCCCATCTTCCTATTCCCACCTCATTCTACCTTTCCAAACCTACCAAGGAGTTATCCATTTTTACCTCCTCAGAATAATACTGATGGCATTTATAGCACCTTTTTTATTTTTTATATCGCAATTATTCCTGAATGAATTTTTTCTTCCAATAAATTCCCTAAAAGCAGAAATATACTTTACTCTTCTTGACATTAGTTCAGTGCTTTGCATAGAGTAGGCATTCAATAGATGTTGATCAATATGAATGCTGTGAATCAACAGCTAATTTACACATTCTTGTTTAAGAGAAACAACATTGGATTTTTTTAAAAAGGTATGGACTATACCTTTGAAAAAGTTGTTTCTGAGAAATATTTCTGGATTTATTTTTTGTTTTAAATTTGGTCTTGGGTGAAGTACATTTTCTTCTTTGATAGTTCAAGTGAATCGTGTACCAACTAGATTTAAACTATCAACCTCTTCACTTTTTTTTAGTAGTCAAGTTGATTAAAATGACATTAGTCAGTGTTCCTGAGACACTGAGCTGCACTTTAATCATTACTTCAATAAAAATACTTAAAAACTATTAGACCATCATTATGTATGTCAAAGAAGTATTTGTTGGTAACATTCTATAAAAATGCTCATTCTTTAATTTAGAAGACAGCACTGTAAAATTGATTTCCTCATAGAAATATGCCTTTAAAAAATCGTTAGCAAATATTGACAGGCAACATTGGAACAATCGCCAAGGTTTTTTTTTAACAAATACAAGTACAAGGAACAAAGAGAAGTTAATGTTCAATCATTTCCAGTGGGTAACCATTTTAAATTCATTCAGTGGATTTTCCACACATTTATGTTTTTTTCTTCAAGTATTTCATCAAGTGTTCTGTTCTATGTGGGAGTTTCTATTGCTTCATAGATTCAATCAGTGGTTTACATGGCTATTAGTACCACAGCTTATTTATTAAATTTTTGGTTGAAATAGGCAGCTCAAACATGGGCAATTCAGCAAAAGAGAATCCTTAAAAATGTGCTCTCTGAAACATTCGACATCACAGTTGCTATGGTTTTCTTTCTTTAAAAAAAAAAAGATCTAATTTTAACTTGCTGTTAAATGTAACCAGTGAGACATTATGAGAAAAAAACACCTTGCTTGTTAGTCTACCAGTTCTTTTAAATGTTTTAAAAAACACACTACAAAATATTTCTTCAATCCAATAATCATTTATAGAGTTCCTACTATGAGCAAGGTGCTGTGCTAGGTCATATGAGAGAAACTAAAGATGACCGAGACAGGGGTCTTGGCATTGTAGTGCTCATAGCTAGGAGTGGAGGTGGAGGATGAAAAGAGGAGATGTTGTTTTACTAGACCGTGAACTGCTGGAGAGGCAGAAATGTATCACAATCCTTTTTCTATATTGATGTGTAGTTTCTTCAGAGCCTGGAACATAAGAGACCCTCAATGTACATTTGTTATTAGAAGGAATGTGTGTCTGAGGTGCTATATTCTACAGTATATGGTAGCAATAATGGACATACTTCTGTAAGAACATGGGACTGATGCAATTTCAAGATATTTGGGAAAGATTTTGAGAAGAGGGACAAGTGTCCCTGTGCAAGCAGTTGCTCTTCTCTTCTATCTGAGAACCCTCAAGAAATGGTACGTTATTATTAGAAGGTAGAGGGAAATTTGCCCTACAATGTATTTTAAGAAATGCAAAATAAACCATCCAGTGTTATATACATAATAATAACAACCAACAGGTACTCTCAGTTTATGAAGTTATCTCACTGGATTAATCCATTTGTTTCTGACAACAACTCTTTTGCATAAATATTTTAGCCATATTTTCATAATAAAGAAACCAAGAGGTTAAACAACTTGAAAGACATTACCAGGAGAGTTTACCAAACCTGACTTGAACCCAGCATGTCAAATTCCATGCTTTTTAGATAATAGGATAATATAGTCCTCTGCATTGCACCCCAAGTTGATTGGGATTTGTACTTTCCTTACTTTAAAAGTTTTTTTTTTAACTTAGTAACAAGATATTTGACTTTACTGCTGCTTTACTGGGTGGCACTCCCTCTAAAATGATAACAAAACAAACTAGCAATTTATAAGTTAACTTGAATATGTGAATCAAATTTGTTAAGAAAGGTATTAGATTTTTTTTTTTTTTTTTTTGAGACAGAGTTTCCCTCTTATCACCCAGGCTGGAGTGCAATGGTGTGATCTCAGCTCACTGCAAACTCCGCCTCCCAGGTTCAAGTGATTCTCCTGCCTCAGCCTCCCGAGTATCTGGGATTACAGGCGCCAACCACCATGCCCAGCTAATTTTTGTATTTTTAATAGATGCGGGATTTCACCATGTTAGCCAGGCTGATCTTGAACTCCTGACCTCAGGTGATCCACCCGCCTCAGCCTCCCAAAGTGCTGGGATTACAGACATAAGCCACCACTTCCGGCCTGGTATTAGATTTTTAGTGTTTTTAAAGATCTGTAGCTGCAAATGTAATTATGGCCCTGCTATATTGCAGCCGTCATTAGATGCAGGAAAAAAATGATGTGGACATAAAACTTCTACATGAATGGATTCCAGGGACTGAAACTTAAAATTGCCAAGCCATTTGCTGATCACTAAGCCACCAAATGAGGAAAATGGCATCAAAGCAACTGTACTTCGTCGTATCTCAAACACTGACATTTGTCATGTTGGGTCAGAGGGAGCATTAGAAGGGAGACTTTATCATGATATTAAGTAGTGGAAAGGGCATTCAGTTTGGAACTGCAAGAAAGGTTTGAATTCTCTTTTATTATTTATTAACTGCATGTTGTAGGACAAATAATACAACCTCCCTAAACTTTCTTTTCCTTCTCTGGAAATTGGGAATGATCGGATACATGAGAATCATGTGAGAATCAAATGAGATGATTTATGTAAGAGAAGCTGAACTTAGTAAGAGAAGAGGTTTGGTAATTCCACAAGCAGCTCCTTGAATGAAAATGCCTTGGCTCTTTCCAAGGTTAATTCCTTTTGTTTGGATCCTATCCCTCCAGCCTCTCAATGACTTTGCTGCTGCAATTGTCATCTTTCCATATCACCTCTTCTTTTGTTATTGGACTGATCCTCTTGATGCCTGCACTGATGTAGCAGCCCTTTTCTTTTAAGAAAAACAACAACAACAAAAAACTCCCTTGACTTTCATATTGCCAAATTCGGTGGTCACCCCAGGCTCATATCTGCCAGATCTCATAACAGCAGTCTTCACAGCTGATACTCTCTGTTTAATGGAACACTTTCTTCTCACTTTGTATGACACCATGCTCTTCCAATTTTCCAATTATTTCACTCACCACTCATTCTCAATATCCTGGATTGGCTGTTCCTTTTCTCTTCCACCAAGAGCCCACATGGAGCCCCTTCTTTTCTCCAGCTACATTCTCTCCTCAGGTGATTTTGTCCAGTTCTATGGCTTCAAATACCATCATACATACCTAACTACCCGTGTTACAACTCTAGTCCTTATATCCTCCTAAAACATCAAAATTGTATACTCCTCTGTCCATGTGACATCTAATATACATTATACATCTTAAATTATCTAATACATCTTAACAATACCAAATATACATCTTAACAATACCAGCGGGTCTCCTAATTCCCATTCTCTAAAATTGTCCCTGTCTCAGTCTTCCCATCCCAGTGCATGCCAACCACATCCCCCCAGTTGGCCAAGATAGAGCTTTACAAGTTATCCTTTATTCCTCTCTGTCAGTTAATCCCTATCCTACCATCCGTCATTTGGTCCTGTTGACTCTCCTTCCAAGGTCTGCCTCTTTCCATATGTATGATCAATACCCTCCTCCAGGGCCCATGATCTCCTCTCTAGATTATTGCAGGTGCTCCTCACACAGCAACCCAAGTCATCCTTCTAAATGAAAATCAGATCCCACCTCATTCTTACTAAAGACCTTTTAATGGCTGCCCATAACACCTAGAATCGAATACAATCTCTGATGCCTCTGCCTCCTTTGAAAACTCCTCACATATCTTTCCCCCTTGGTCTACTATGTTCCAGCCACCTGGCATTCCTTCTGTTCTGCTAATTTGACAAGTTCATTCCCAACTCAGAACCTTTGCACTGGTTGGGCTAGACTATTGTTTCCACTGTGTTTTTTATGTTATTCAGATCATAGCTTAAATATTTGTTCGCAAATAAGCCTTCTCTGATGAACTAGAGTAATCAGCCCTACCAAGTTGTGTATGTATTTTACGTCTCTCCATGCCACTCATCATAGTGGTATTTACTTGTCTGCATTTCATTCATATTTATATTCCCCCACCAGAATGTGAGAGACTGCACTTTGTATACTTAGTTCACTGCTATATACTCAGAATGTGCTCAAAACACAGTAAATATTTGTTGACTGGAAAAATTGATGATGGTATCTTATTACACAATTAATGAAACATTCAAAAGTATCTTTTTGTTGTTGTTGTTGCATCACTTTACAAAAGCTGAAAATTAGGCAATCACCTAAATGTAAGTTAGCTTTTTACAACTTGGCTTCAAAATGGAAAGCTTCTCTAGGCGCTGTAGCATCCTGATTCTTTTTTCTTATTTTTGTTGTTTGTTACTCTATGTCAACAATATTTATGATGTGCCTACCCCGGTCTTTTTTATTGTAGTCTTTGTTAGGGAGTAAATAATTTATCTTATTCTTTGTTGACATACAGCATGGCTTATTCAGAACCAGAACCTTCAGAAAAATCAGTCTTTTTTGGAGAAGTGATAATTGTACAACTTGCTATCCTTATAAGTGTGGTCCATGAGGACTCAATTGTATTTCTTCAAAATCCTTAACACAATTTGTAAAAACAATTACTCATTTGCTGTGGCAGGAATATGGAAGTAGAGGAAGTAATGTTTCAGCGTACTTTAGAGACCTTTGGCTACATTTCCTCTTAAAACATAAATGCAATCAGCTTGCCAAATTCATGAGCATCTTAAGACAAAGTTTGAATCTCGTTCTCTTTCTTTGCAAACACTGCTCTGTCTTCCTGTAAAAGTGATCCAAGTTTCTATTTACGTAAGAGGCTGTATAGATGTGTAAAGAAAAAATAATTTCATTTAACTTTGGTCAACTCTTTAATTCTTTTTATAAAGTTCTTAATTCTTAGGCTTTCACGTTTGGTTTCTTAAACTATAACTCAGTATTGTAGAAGTATAGAGGTGAAGAATCTTTCAAAATACTCTAATCTGTTTATTTTGCAGAAGAAGTAATGAAGTCTTACTCAGGTAAAATGACCTGTTTATAGTCACATAATAAATCAGTGCTTTTAACCACATCTTGCAGCTCATTCAGAATTCTGTCTGCCTTACTCCACTGCATCCCACCACAATACACAAGGTAAATTGTTGTCACAATTTCCAAATGAAGAAACATATGTTGGACAGTTCAGTGCTTTGTTTGCAGAGATCCGCAAAATTAATGGACAGTAATATGAAGATTTCTTCTTTTGAACTACCCTTCAATTTAGTTAATTATTCTCAAACATGTTTTAAAGTTAAAGCTACTGAGAGGTGGGAAGTGCATCTTTTAAAAAATTCACAAGTTTTTATTTAAAATAATTTTAAGTTTACAGAAAAGTTGTACGAATATCAAGAACTCAAAATTGTGCTTTACCAATTTTAAACCTCTTGATCACATTTATAATTCTCTTTCCCTAATGTGTGTGTGTGTGTGCACACATGCAGAAATATGTAGGCACACACATAAAAACATTTATATTATTTTTGCTAAGCTGTTTGAAAGTAAGTTGTATACATCAAGCCTCATTACCCCTTAAAGCTTCAGTGCACATTTCCTAAGACTGAGGATATTTCGTTACTGTAGCATAATACAGTTATCAAATCCAGGATGTTAACATTGATATGATACTATTGTCTAATCTACAGTCCCTATCCCTATTTTGCCTATTTTGTCAGTTGTCTCAATAATGTCCTCTTAGGATTTCTTTTTTCTCCAAGATAATGTATTGTGTCTCTTTAGTCTCTTTTACTCTGGAATAGTTCTTTCTTCAGCTTTTTTCTATCTTCCTTGACATTGCCAATTTTGAAGAGTACAAGCCAGCTATTTTACAGAATCTACCTCAATTTGGATTTTTCTGATACTTCTTCATGATTAGATTCAGGTTAAGCGGCCTCAGCCAGAATACTACAGAACGAATAATGTTGTGTGTTTCTCAGGGTATCACATTTGGAGGCATACAACGTCCGCTTGCTTTTCTTTGGTGATGTCAATTTTGATCACCTGGTCAAGATGTTATCTAGTTTTTCCAGAGTATAGTTACAGATTTTTCCACTTGCAACTTACATGCAGTCTGTAGGAAGACACTTTGCGACCACGCAATTTCCTGCTTCCTCATCAAACTTTCCTCCCTCAATTTAGCATCCACTGATGATTCTTGCCTGAACCAATCTAAACTATGATGATTGCAAAATGGTGATTTTTCCTTTCCTAACTCATGACATCATAAGAGTACTCAGATGGAGGGCTAGTCACCATCAAAGTACAAATATTTTTAAATATAAAAATAAATTTTTAGCATTGGAAAGGAATCACAGGGCAAATCTGTTCTAACACCTTTACTCTAACGATGAGGGCTAGAGAGGCGGCACATCCATATTTAGTGGCAATGGCAGGACTGAAGTTGGTCTACAGGCTCTGGTTCCAGGCTCCATTATATCCATCCATAAAGTAAATCAAAATTCATTTGTTAAAAACATAATGTCCTCAGCAGTTAGAAGCACAAACTCATGGCATAAAGTAGGCAGAATAAGGGTGGATCATATGGTGCTGACTTTATATATCCCTTTTTTTCTTAAGAATTTATTAATTAATTCAATCATTCATTTATGATTTACTAAGCAACAACTCTGTAATGACCTGTGTCAGTACTGGGATGCCTGTACTCACAAAAAGTTCATAGTTTAGTGGGAGATACTACTTTAGTATGCATCAGAATCCCCTGAAGCCTTCTAGGTTCCAGGCCCCACAGATTTTGATTCAGCATGTCTGGGGTAATGCATAGGAATTTGCATGTTTAGTAAGCAGAAGAGGGCTGTATTGAAAACACCAGAGGTTCACATCATGCAAATGGTTATGGCATATGCTCCGCCTCCTGACTTTCCTACTCCAACTCCCACCGCTTGAATTGAAAAGTATTAGTAAAAAACAATACTGTCATAAAATGAATTTTAAAAATGTTTAACAAGGGTCAGATATTATTATAATTACTTTCATGCTTCTTTTGAAATACTAAATGCTAGAGCAAGTTTTCCCAGAAAATTACTTTTTTGGTAATGCTACTTTTCTGGTGACGTAAGCATATTCATGATTAGCTTACTACAGAGGATACTGATATTGGTGGTCTGGTGAATCATGTTGGCCCCAGGCCAATGCATTCACATGCTTTATTTTGCTTAGGTAACACTGGCACCTGGGCTTCCACGGATGAAGCAGTCTGCCAGAAAGACAGAGGCTGCATTAGCTGTTGATGCTAAAGAAACACTTTAAAGTCTAAATGGCTACTCTCTTGAAAAATACGTTTATAAGAACGAATTATTGGTAGACATTCACTCATCCATTTAGTCAATAAACTCTTGTTGAGTTCCTGCTGGGTAAAAATACAGGGCTAATTCCTGGGGAATTACAAAGATAAATAAAATGGATTGTGCTTCACAGGAACTCAGGAGCAAGAGATCAGAAATGTTATCCATTTTTCTTGGGAGGACGTTCCAAACTCAAGAACCAAAGTAGCATGGAAGACAGGACATGAATTTTGGATTTGGAGAGATATGAGTTCAAATCCTAACTCTGTCTTTTCTTTGCTGAAGAAACTTTCAGCCAGATTACTTAACTTTGATGTATCTTGGTTTCCTTACCCAAAAAACATGAATACTAACTAATTCCTCATAGAGATGATTGAAAGATTGACAAAATAACATGTGTTAAGAACTAATGCATCATCTGGCCCACAATAAGTTCTCTGAAGAGGACAGCTATTATGGTGTTAAATATTGTGCTCTCTATATATCCTACTGCATGTACAGATTTCTGTGTATTCACTGTATTATATATATACTTATATATAATATTTATACATAAAACATACTAATAATGTTTAATTATTGATGACTTGTTTTACATTGTGAAACTGTTTATACATAAACACACATCTGTATAATTTTTCTTCTTAAAAATAGTAAGTTGGCAATTAATATTTACATGAAAATCGAGTCAAGACATTTGTTCCCTGAGGATTTTGTGTCCTGAAGAACAGTCTGTACAATTGGGGAACACCTATCACAAACAGGGATGGCTGACCTACCTTCCAGTGTTATCATACACCAAGCAAATAATGCATGATCCACTGGAATGGGTACACTACGGGTAATGAATGAATAGTATTTTCCATTACCTCACAAATAGAACCTGAGGCATGAAGATGAGACTCCTCCTTAATTATTTGCAGAGGTTGAACTGGATGTTTATTTTCTTAGATCATTACATATCACTGTAAAGTATCTTTTGGAGTAGAATGGAGACAGGTAAAGATGAACATACAAATCCTATAATCGCCCGGGCGCGGTGGCTCAAGCCTGTAATCCCAGCACTTTGGGGGGTCGAGGCGGCGGATCACGAGGTTAAGATATCAAGACCATCCTGGTCAACATGGTGAAACCCCATCTCTACTAAAAATACAAAAATTAGCTGGGCATGGTGGCATGTGCCTGTAGTCTCAGCTACTTGGGAGGCTGAGGCAGGAGAATCACTTGAACCTGAGAGTCAGAGGTTGCAGTGAGCCGAGATTGTGCCACTGCACTCCAGCCTGGCGACAGAGTGAGACTTCGTCTCAAAAAAAAAAAAAAAAAAAAAAAAAGAAATTCTATAATCCCCAAACATCTCATATAATACAGCTTTCACCATTGTCATTTTAATATTTTATAATCGTTTACAGTGCATTTTAACTTAACCCCTACACTGTCCTTCCTTTTACAAGTTGCAGAATAAACGCTCATTTTTAACACTTGAGAAACCATTGGTTGAGATTTTTCCATATGATTTGCCCGAGGATAAACAGCACAATGTTGTATGGCACTTATTACAGAACCTAGTAGAGACAAAGATAGTAAAAAATGATCTGTTTATCTACATATGCATGTCAAGCCACTTCCCATCATAAACAGCTGAGCCAAAAGTAGGGCTCACCTAGTTCTTTGCAAGATTCTTGCTTTGACATTATACTAAAGATAATATAATTATGAAGTGCTTTCAAATGTAACCATTTGGAATTTGTATATACTTATCCTTGGTAAAAAATAATAATCATTTCTTACTTGTATAGTGTTTTAGTGCTATTATTTGAATATTTCTTCTGAATCTTTTTCTAGGGTAAGTAACAATACTTATTTTGTGGAAATGCATTTGTCTGTGAGAAAAATTAACTTCGGAATTAAGATAGAGGAAATGTCAAAATAGTTTAGAAATATAATTTTTTACTTTTTCAATCATGTTTCAATTACATTTAATGAAGATTTACAGGTTTAAGGACTACGGAAATATTTGAGGACTGATTGCATATTGATCATCCACTAATATTTCCCCAGTTGATCTCAGCCAAAGAAAACCATAAAGCCAAAGAACTGCTTGGAAAAAAAATTTTGGTTTGTGCAAAACTTTAAAACAAAGACATAGTTTAAAATTTACTATTTTAACAAATGGAACCTAACAAAATACATCGTTCAAACAGTTACACGTTATACTCTGCTTATGGGTGGGATGGAGTAGTAGATCAGAACTTCTGTTGAGAACTAATAGAAAAGCAGAATAAAAGACCAAATCATTTGTTTCAATATAGCTAAGAAGGCTATGAAGAGGGTGTAACTCCCTCGTCAAAGTGAGCTGACTTTGACAGGGGCAACTTCTAGGGGCATTTGCTAATCGTAGGCATGGGAAAGAGTGTGAGCATCTCAACATTTCACTGAAGGAGTGTCACTGGTGGGTAATGTTGAAACCTGTAAGCTTTGGGTAAATATGTGGCAAGCCTCAAACACAGAGCTCTTTTACCACTCAGAAAAGAAAGCCAATTTCTGGGCATTCATGGGGCAGGATGGCAAAGTGGAAAGCCTCTGAAAGGAAAATAAAATTTTTGCGGTCTTACGAGACAAGGATCCACAGGAGAAAGGGCTTTGGAGAAACAGCACACTTTCAGCTGAAACTCTTGAGAACCAGGGTAGACTACAGGTAGACTTCTTTGAGGGTTGCAGCTCAGCCTCAATATGAAACAGTCCCTAATTAAATTAAGATGAAGTGCCATGTTATCTGCCTAGTGAAAGGAAGGATACATCCATTATGGAGGAAGATACATCATCGGGATCTTCTATAATTTTCTATACACACTATTCAGCACTTAAGGGAAAATCATTAAGTATGCAAAAATAAAACATCTCAAGATAACAATTAAAAAAAAACAAATGAAAAAGTAAACACTAGAAACCTACCTGTGGCTGATCAAGACATTAGAGCTAGGTAAGGAATTTTAAAACAACTCTAATTACTATATTTATGACAAGAGAGTGAGAAATGATAAAGAACTTTACCAGAGTTCTTTATAGAGTATTAGATTCTATAAAAAGAATAACAAATTCTAGAGTTGAGAAATATACTCTTGGAAATGAACTCATTAGATGGATTAAACAACACATTAGATACAGCAGAAGACAGATTTAGTAAACTCAAGAAACAGCAATAGAATATATCTAAATTTAAGCAGAGAAGTAAAATAATGAAAAATATTATTTAAAAAACCTTTGGAAACATGTGAAACATAGTGAAAAGGTCTTAACAGAGTATAGTTGGATCCCTAGAAGGAACACAGAGAATGAAGCAAAAGCAAAAGAGAATTCCAGGAGGAATTAAAGAGTAATAGTAAAAGTAAATATGTAAGAATATACACATAGAAGTAAATATTGACTGTTGTCACTTGACTGCATAAGACAATAATAGAAATGTCTCTACAGGATTTAAAACCTAGGCAGAATTAAAAAGAATGGCAACAATGATGCAAAAGTTGTGAGAGTGTAAACAGAGTTAAAGTATTCTAATGTTACAAAATTATTAGGAGTTTGGTAAAAATAATCATCTGTATTAGATTGGAAGAAGTCAAGGATTCATGTTTAATTTGTAAGGTAGAAGCTGGGGAATATAAAATATAAACTAATATATAATTAACAAATTAATGTAACAAAAAATTAAAATATTTTTGGATTAACCCCAAAGAGGAGAGAAATAAAAGGGATCAAATATAAAACGGATAGCAATGCGGTAGACATAAACCAAAATCTATCAGCAATTACTTCAGATTTAAAAGAACTCAATATTCTAATTCAGAGACCAAGATTACTACCCCCAACTCAGAGACCAAGATGGTCTCACAGGAAACAATTACTACCCCCAACTCTATAGTGCTTAAGAAAGCTACACCTTAAATATGAGAACACAGAGAAGTTGAAAATAAAACCATGAAGAAAGATACAGCATGCAAACATCAACCAAGATAAGGGATGGCTCAACTAATAATCAGACAAAGTGGACTTTATGGAAAGAAGCATTACTAGAAATACAGAAGGTATGTTATTTATTGATTTATTGTTCCTCAGCTCCAAACCCACCCATCACTCTGTATTGTGATACTGGAACTGAAACCTGCAGACTACATTTTTATTTTTCCAGCTGGTTGAAAGTTAGGCTCTGCCAATAGAGGGTACTGGAGAAACACTGCAAAGCTGAAAGGGGAAGAAGGGACATTTCCTTCTTGGAATTTTCTGTTTCTGCCAGCAGCAAATGTTTCTGTTTGTAGGGGTCTAGGCAGCCTTTACCAATGTGGTGGTGGCCCGCACAGTCAGTGCAGGTATTCTTTTGCCAAATTTCTTCATCACCACAGCCATGTTGTTCTCCTGGTTCTGAGATAAGTGAACCCTATCTTAGTGACTTCCCCCGGCCACACTCTCTCCTCAGAGATCTGAATCTTAGCCTTGTGGGACCTCCTCTGAGCTTCCAAGTTACTTACTTGTTCGTGTCCCCTCATCCCTAAGGATGCTATAGGGAACTAAGGAGAAGACAGCACAATTTAAATCTGTCTTCAGTGAATAACAAGGCTTTTACGTACATAAAATATAAAAAAATTGATGAATACAAGGAGAAATTGACAAATCTCCAATTATAGTGGGAAATTGTAACACAACTCTGTCAAAGGCTGATGGAATTTCAGACAAAAAAAGAAAGAAAGGAAAAAGGAAAGAAAAAACTTTCAAGAACATAGGAGCTCTGTGTAACATAAGCCACAAACTTGGCTTAATAGACATATGTCAAATCCTGTAACAAAGAACATCAGAATGTACATTCTTTTCAAGTGTACCTGCAACTTTTACCAAAATTAACCATAGCTCACTCATAAGTCAAGCCACCACAAATTTCACATTTTATATGGAAAAAAAAGGGCCAAGAATAGCCATGTTAATCTTGAAGAAGAACAAAGCTGACAGACTTGGCCGGATATTGAGAATTACTATAAATAAAGCTATAGTAAGGAGGCAGCATGGCTTTGATGCAAGGATAAATTACACCACCTGAAAAGAATAAAAAGTCCAGTAGTAGACCTACATATAAATGTTCATTTAATTTATGACAAGAGTGACCCTGGCACACAATGGGGGTGCTGTGTCTTAAGCATGTCCCCTAAAAGTTCATGTGTTGGAAGCCTGATTTTCACCTTGATGCAGCAGTGTGGGGAGGTGAGGTCTAGTGGGAGGTGTTTGAGTCATGAATAGATTAATGCTGAGTGAGTGAGGGAGTAAATTCTTGTAATCCCAGCTACTCAAGAGGCTGAGGCAGGAGGATCACTTGAACCCGGGAGGAGGAGGTTGCAATGAGCTAAGATTGCACCACTGCACTCCGGCCTGGGTGACAGAGCAAGACTCTGCCTCAAAAAAGAAAAAAAAAAGTAAGCCATTGTAAAGCAAGGCTGCCTCGCATGTTTGGTCTTCCTTTTGCATATCTGCTTCCTCTTTGCTTCTTTGCCACGTGGTAATGCAGCATGAGTTCCTCACCAGAAACAGCAGATGCTGGTGCCATGTTTCCTGGACTTCCCAGCCTCCAGAATTGTAAGCCAAATAAACTTATTTTTAAAATAAATTACCCAGTCTCAGGTATTCTGCTATAGCAACAGAAAACAGAATAAGTCAAAAACTAGAATCATGGCTTTTTAAATAAATGGTGCTGGCCTAAATCAAATGCAGCGAATAAATTTTGATACCTATCTTACATAATGCACAAAAATCAATTCCAAATACATTGCAACAGTAAATGTAAAAAAAACAACATTAATGCTTTTAAAAGAAAATGGATGATTTTATGACTTGGATAGGCAAGGATTTCTTGAACAGAACATACAAATAAAAAATTGGATTATATTATACATAATAATTTTTGTTCATCAAAACACATCTTTAAAAATGAAATGACAATTCGTAGAATAAAAGAAAATATCTGTAGTACATATATTTGACGTGGACTTGTATCCAGAATATATAAAGGAGTTCTGTGAAAGAAGACAGAAGAAGACCCAGTAGAGAAGTGGGCTAAACGTTTTAATAGACATATCACAAAAGATGATCTCCAAATGGTCAGTAAACTCTTGAAAGAGTTATTAACTCCCATTAGTCATCAATGGAATGCAAAGTGAAACCACAGGTTGATACCACAGCAAATCCACCAGAAGGCCAAAATTAAGAAGACAGACAATACCTAGTATTGGCAAGTATATGGCATAAGTGGAGCTTTTACACAAAGCAGATATAAATGTAAGATGGTACAACCAATTTGGAAAGCTGTTTGGCAGCATCTGCTTCCTCCTATATCCTGTACTGGCAGATTTTTTCCTATATACCCAGCAGAAATGCATACAAGAACGTTCACAGTAGCACTATTCACAACAACGTAATAACATAATAACATTGAAAACATTCCAAATGCCCATGAATCATAGAAAAGATAAAAATATTGTGGTATATTTATACAATGGAAAAATATTATTAGCAGTGAGAATAAAGGAACTACAACTACAAGCAACCACATGGAAGAATCTCACAAATAAAACATGGAGTGAAAGAAGCCAGATACAAAAGAATACATATTATATGATTCATTTAAATAAAGATTAAATTTAGGCAAAACTGATTTGTGCTGTTAGATGTCAGATTTGTGGTTGCCCTTGAGACAGTGAGTAGTAACTCGAATGGAACAGGGGGAGCTCCTGGGCTTACTGGTACCATCATTTCTGGATCTGAGAGCTGGTTACACCAATGTGTTCATTTGATTAAATCTGTCTTCATTTGTGCCTTTTACCAAATGTATGTTATGCATCGATAAAAAGTTTACATTAAGAAAATCAATCAAGACAGCTTGAAATTTTACATACAAAGACTCTGAGTTTTCCTAAGGCAAGTTTTGCCTAAACACATGCCCCCTACTCCCTTATCTACAACCTTTGCATTGTCTAAGAATATAAGCAAGAAGGCAGGGTAAGGATTTGATAGTTAGGAGGTGTTTTCTTCAAAATTCTCCAGGAGGGTAAAACCACACAAAACAAATGAAATGCAGTTGATGTTAGCGGCTTGGAAATTATCAGACTGTGTGTGTGGTAGATAGACTGAAAGAGATTCCATGATTACATTTCTGAGGGTTCCAAACACCAGGGCAAACAGCACTGAACATGTAGCAGTTGCTTGCTTTCATTGTCATAATTATTATTTTTTACTTTTATTTTTATGCTATCTTTTTAAAAATAATTTTTTATTTTTATTATTTGTGGGGACATAGTAGGTATATATATTTATGGG
This sequence comes from Homo sapiens, assembly GCF_000001405.40. Taxonomy (NCBI): domain Eukaryota; kingdom Metazoa; phylum Chordata; class Mammalia; order Primates; family Hominidae; genus Homo; species Homo sapiens. The sequence goes on from NC_000003.12 coordinate 173,136,403, forward strand.
GTACATGAGATGTTTTGACATAGGGATGCAATGTGTAATAATCACATCATGGAGAATGAGGTATCCATGCCCTCAAGGATTTATCCTTTGTGTTACAAACCATCCAATTATACCGTTTTAGTTATTTTAAAATGTACAGTTAAGTTATTATTGACTGTAGCCACCCTCTTGTGCTGTCAGATACTAGGTCTTATTCATTCATTCTAACTAGTTTTTCATACTCATTACTGTCAAAATTTTTTAAATTTAGCTGTGGCAGAGGGAGGAATAAAGCCTCTGTGCTTGCTTTCTGACCCAAACTCCCTGCAGTTGTTTGTTATATTAATTGGAAAATAGGGTGACCTAATGACCAGACCAATGACCGCAGGCTCAGCCTTACCTCAGTCAACACCCAGTCCTAGGAGAAGGTGGGAAGAAGAAGGGTCTCAAGAGAGGCCAGTGGGAACCAGAGAAGACAGTGACTCAAGACCCCTTCCCTGTGCAGCCACCAAGTAGACGAATAAGCTTTCCCTGTCCTCTCTCTTGGGAAGGAGGGAAAAATGGTGACCACTTGAGAGGAAAAACGTACCCAAAGAACCCATTTAAAAACACTACTGAATTGTATTTGATGAGAAAGTTTAAATAATCCCTCTCTACATTCCCACATTTCAACATTAGTAGAAATGGGGTCTAAAGAGCTTGCCTGATAAGTTCTGCTATCAAAATAAATCTGCCTCTGCCATCACTGTACATCTAAATCAGCTTATACCAGTTTAGGGCAACACCTCCAGGTGGGAATGTCCCAGAAAGAAGCAGCACTCTGAAGCCTAGAGGAAGAGATGAATCAGGCTCTGAGGGATTCTTTTCAAATGGCACCTCCCGCCCATTATATCCCAACCCCATCCCATTATCTTGAAGGAATATTGTGGATGTGAAAGATCTGGAAGAATAAAAAATATTGCGAATTAGGGTGGTAGAAGGATAGGTGGAGAACAGAAATGATCACCTGCTACTGAAAGATAAGAAAGAACAAAATCAGATGACCACGATGTTAGACAAATTCTATAACAACAGAGTCACAGAAAGGTCCATGGAAGGCGGGATCTATGGGAGGAAAACAGGAAAAGAAATGGCAGCTGCAGAAGATAAAGCTTCTATGAACACTAAAACTTCCTCCTTTTCTACATTCATAAATGGTGTCAATTTCAATGTATTTCAAGTCTTTTCTTTCAATCTGGTAATGACTCTCATATTTAACATGATGCTTCTTCACTGTTAACTACATCAGTAAATATAAAGGGTGAGGAAGTTAACTGAGAGATCGGAACTTTTGAAAGCCTTTAATTAAGCCTTGGCCCCAATACCTAAGAAGGTTCAGAAGCCTTCTGTGTGTTTATTCCTCCATTATCTTCTGCTCTGAGGGGGATCCCATGGACTCTCAACACACACACACACACACACACACACACACACACACACACACACACACACAGACACACACACGTCTCCCTAAAGAAGAGACCAGATGTATTAGGTCTGGGAATGTATGTTAGAGAGGACTACTGCAATCCTTTCTTTCTTCACCTTAAACTTAGGTTTCCAAATGTCTGTTCAACAGGAATGAGAAGTGATTTATATCATGTTTTTGCTCCTTACATCTTCAAGTTAACAAAATTGAGCTGATTTCTAACAAGTTAAATGCATACTTTTTTTCTTGGTGGGGGGGTGATAATGCAATGTCTTCTCAAGCTATAACTTCGGTGATCGTTCAAGACAGCATTGAATTCTTCTGCCTGAGTTATGCTGGCTAATAGGAATTTAATTGAGAACCAGTGGGAGAGCACTGAAGCATTCATGCATGTGAAATCAGATGAACACCCACAATGTGGAATTTCCTAAGGAAAGTTATTCTGGCAGAGAAATACAGACCAGGTTGAGTGCCAGTAACTTTTAAGCTAAGATGTGGAGCTATCTTCCTAATAAGTAACGAGCTAAAGGTCCCTAAAGAAAAGTGAGGCCAATATTTTCAACTCTATATTTTCAAACATTTTAAAAACATCAGCTCAGAGTTATATACAATTCCCTTCCTCTGTAAGATATTAATCTTCCTTAACTTTGATTCCATATAATAATGTTTATGTTTGAAAGGCACATGCACAACTTATTTAGGTAAATCTAAAATAAACAGCAAGACAGAATAACTAATTTATCTATGAAAAGAAATTGAAATCAGGAGCTGATTTCTATTCAGTAATTATAATACAAGTCTTCCTGAAACATTTCCTTTCAACTGGCCTACTTAAAACCATGTCAATTTTCCACTTCTTGTGCAATTCTAGATGACAGTGTGAATTCAGCTTCAGTTTCTACTCATAAAGGTTAAAGAGACGCTTTCTAACACCTATCCTGTATCAGGTCAACTCAATTACCTTTCAAAGTTGCCTAAATCGTGAAATATTGGTGGTTCAAATACATGAATTCTGCACATTTCAGAATAGATGTACATAGGTGTACATAAATGTATATCACATCATATAGTATGCAAATACATTTACTCCTGGAGGCTTTCTAAAATGTAAAGCTAAAGCTGAATCTTCACCTTCCAGTAATTTTATAATAATTTTCCCCATCATATAGGGATTTGGAATTCTGATATCAGTCATAGCCATTGGGTTCTGTTTTCTTATTCGCAAAATGGAGTTAATTATAATATCTGCCTCATGTAATTGTTGAGAAGAGTAATATAGGAAGATTGCCTGAAAACAGTAACCGCTCAATAAATGCTAACTATTGTTCTATCATTATCATCATTTTTGTTATTGCTGTTATTATTGTTCAGCAATTTTTTTAAAAATTAGACAATTAGAAAAATGCTTTCTATTAGACAGATGGCTCATGCTCATTCATTGCATATATTTTGAAATTTAGCTAGAGCTATGATAAATTAGTCTTTATTTTGCTATATTTAAGCTAGACTGCTATAATATTTTATTTTATAACATCCCTGAAAAACTCAGCAAGCTCTTCGTGAGTGCAAAATGTTACAACTTGAACATTACTTTCCAAGAAGATGACTCAACATATTCTACACTAGTTGAAAGACAATACTCCAGGCTTTCTGATGTAAAAGGATTTAAAAACCCTTGAGCATATGGTGTTTGCACTGCTTTTGTTACTATGGCCTACAATTGTTGGGGTACCTATTCATTTATTTCAAACTGATGTGTCACATAAAAGGAACAACAACAAAAACACAACATGCAGTGAAATTCTATGTAGAGGAATGTAGCTTCAGTCACTGTGTGTCTTAATTAGAAAGAATAGCCGGGCGTAGTGGCTCATGCCTGTAATCCCAGCACTTTAGGATACTGAGGTGGGCATATCACTGGAGGTCAGGACTTTGAGACCAGCCTGGCCAACATGGCAAAATCATGTCTCTACTAAAAATACAAAATTAGCTGGGTGTGGTGGCGTGTGCTTGTAATCCCAGCTACTCAGGAGGCTGAGGCAGGAGAATCACTTGGACCCAGGAGGCAGAGGTTGCAGTGAGCCAAGAAGGCACCACGGCACTCCAGCCTGGGTGACAGAGCAAGACTCTGTCTCAAAACAAACAAACAAACAAACAAACAAACAAACAAACTCCTGCAGTAAGGATTAACTGTGGGTTTATGCCTGGAGATCATTTTAAGGTTCTGTATCTCACAGTTCATGCTCATTGGTTGCTTTCTTTTAGTCATAATCAATTTCCAAGGTGCTAGTTTCACTGCTCAGAGGATGAACAACTTAATGAAATTAGGGTAGTTTCTGTTATAATACTGCTAGTACATGAAACTTAATCATAAAGGGTTGAACAAAAACACAATACAAAGTTTTTATGCATTTCTTTCAAACTAAGTCTTACTAAAAATGGTAAACACTTCCCTGATGCTTCAAAAACAGAGAACTTTACTGATATCTATTAATATTTTATGGGTAATAAATCCAAAATGCAAATTTTAAACAAAGCTGGAACCTATTTTTAATTGCTCACGCTGAACAACCTTTGAACAGCAAGGTCCTTGTAAAAGACATTCATTCATTCATTTACTCATTCATACAGCAAACATTTCAGAGCACGCATTTTACGCCAGGCATGATGTTAGGATACAGAAATGATGACATGGTCTATGTCTTACAGGGAGCTTGGATTGTTTCTCTCCCTAATATCCTACTCCTTGACGTTCAATGTCTTCAATCCACAGTAATATTATGCGTTAAGGAGACAACAACCCGTATCACAAATGATAAAATGTGAACTCTGAATTAGCAGTCATCATCTCCCACTTGACTACAAGAAGATGTCCTCAAACTATACACTTTATTAGGGAATATATATTAGAATAAAGCAAAACAAAACAAAAAATCTGTTATTGGGAAACCAAGTGGGATCTTAGTCTTTACTTTCTCACCAGAGTGGGGAAGGATAGGGTGACCCGGTGCAGCGGACAGGGAACCACTTTGGAACTACCTGTCTTCTAACTGCCTGCAGGAGATGATTTCTTGGTTACTTATTAGGGCTTTTTATAAGCAACATTCCTCATTCCTCGCGTGGGCAGGAAGAAAGGAGCTCCTGTTTTCCCAGCTTACTCCATCTTCACCTGAGGGTCATCTCCCTTCCTTCCCACCCAGCCACTGAACGAGAAAAGCTTTAACTGGGCAGACCTGAATGATTCTCCTCCTACCTAAGCAGTTGTGGCTCAGCCCCGCGGGGACAGGGCGAAGCTCTGGACTCCTCCCAGCCACAGCATCTGCCAACACCGGCTTCCCAACGTCCCACTGCGAGGCCTGATCAGGCTGCTTGCTCGCGGGGACGCCAGGACTTGAAACGTCCCGTGCCACGAGGCCCATCGCGCCCACAAGTGGCGCGGGTCACTGGCACCTCCCTAGTCTTTCCTCTTGAGTTGCACTTGATGTTTCCAATAATAAAAACAAGGTTATTTATATTTTTCCGTTCAGATTCTAAAAGCAATATGATCAATAAAATAATCTGGAAGATACAGAAAGATGTACATAAAATAAAAATTATCTGTATTCTAAAGAGAAGCACTGAAAACATTTTCATGTATATCTTTGCAGTCTCTTTACTATGAATAGATTAAAAAAAAATCATACCATTCTGTCTCTTTCACACAAAACTACACAGATACAATATAGACTTTATACATACATTTTATAAAGTTTTGTATTTGTTCTCTTTTAAAGAAAATTATTTTAAACATTTTACTCTAAAACCATTTATGAGATCTCATAAGCTCCTACCTATGTATGTTTTAGAGTAAAATATGTATATTATATAGAATATATAAATGTATATTATATATCAAATGTATCATGTATTATACTAACATGTTATATGATAATATTATATAACATGTTATGTTATATATGTAATTATGTATATTTAAACATAAACGCACTTTACCTTCTATGCATTTTAGGCAGCACATTACTGATACATTTGAAGAAATCTATGTACCCCTAAGGACTGCGTCTTCCTCCTAGCCACTGTTGTGACTTGTATGACAAACATCCCTTGCTTTCCTTTATAGCTTAACAAATCATACATGCATCACTTTTTATTGAAATATGACATATATCCAGAAAAATGAATGAACTGCAGTGTGTTGAATAAATTATCACAACGTGAACCCATCAGAATAACCACCACCTCAATAAAAAATTAAATTCTTAGCACCCCAGAAACCCCTTCTAATTTCCATTCCTTTTCATTCACCGTAGGTAGTGACTGTTGTGGTTTCTAACACCACAGTTTAGTTTTGTCTGTTTTTGAACATAATAAAAATAGTCCAGTTATGGTTTTACTACTCTATGCTGCCATTGATTACAGTAGTATAATCTATCTTTTACAAAGTACACTAAATATGATGACTAAATTTCACTTCTTGGGTAAAAAGTTTGTCTTATTCACACTTTCCCACCCCCACTCTCTCCTACCTCTCTGCAAAAAACGGGGAAACTACGCTTCAAGGTAAGGTGTAAGGATTGATTGAGATGAGGTGCATGAAGCCTCTGCTGTGTGATAACAGGCTTTTCAATCCCTCTGCAGTAGTCATAATCTCCCTACTACCTCTCACTGATGTATCTCCATCCTGCCTTCAAAGCTCTGCTTCCTTAAAAAATTTTTTTAACCTAGTAAACAGTTCTGCAAGTTTTGATTGTAAGTGCCACACAATTCAAGATTTAAAACATTACTTTCACCCATAAAAATAACACTATGTCTCTGTAGTCAACTCAGCGGATCATTTCCACACCCTGGCATCTACTGATGTGTTTTTTGTCCCTTTAGTGTTATCTTTTCCAAAGGTCAAATAAATGGAATTATATAGCATGTAGTCTTTTGAATCAGACTTCTTTCATTCAGCATATTACATATGAGATTCACATTGCTGTGGTGTTTATCAGGAGTTCAGTCCTGTTTATTGCTGAGTAATGTTCTATTTGTGTGCATATACCACAGTTTATCTATTCACTAGTTGAGGAATATTTGGGGGTGGTCATGAATAAAGCTCCTATAAATATTTGTATACGTATGTTTGTGTAAATTTAAGTTTTACTTTACTTAAATACCTACTGATCAGATTGCTGGGCCATATGGGGTTTAACTTCATAAGAAACAGCCAAATTATTTTCCAAAATTTCTGTACCATTTTGCTTTCCCATCAGCAATACATGAGATTTCCAGTTACTCTCACATCCTCACCAGCACTTGGTTTTGTCAGATTTTCTTTTCATTTTAAAAATAATATTTCCTTTGGGTGTCTCCTTGTGGTTTTAATTTTCATTCCCTAATAGCAAATGACATTGAGTATATTTTCATGTGCTTATTTGCCATTTATATCTTCTTTGTTGAAGTGCCTGGCCCAATCTTTTGCTCATTTTAAAATAAATGGATTGTTTTATTACTTGGTTTTTTACTTGGTTTATTTTTACTTGGTTTATTACTTCTTTTATTCTAAATATAAGCCCTTTATCAGACTTGTGTTTTAAGTATGTTTTTCCAGTCTGTGCTTGTCTCTTTATTCTCTAAGCCACATCTTTCAAGGAGTAGAAGGTCCTAACTTTGATACATTTCATTTACCTTTTTTATGGCTTGTGTCTTTGATTTTATGTCTAAGAAATCTTTTTCTAACCCCAAGTCACAAAGATTTTTCTCCTAAGTTTTCATTTGAGAGCTTCCTAGTTTTTAGGTTTTACATTTACGATATGATCATTTATGACTTAATTTTTGTGTGGGGTGCAAGTTATGAGTTGAGGTTAATTTCTTTTTGCAAATAGAGGTCCAGTTGTTCCTGCACCATTTGTTGAAAAGACCATCCTTTTTCCATTGAATGGCCTTTGTACCTTTGTTGAAAAATCAATGCACAAGTCTATTTCTGTACTCTCTAGTCTGTTCTATTGATCTATATGTTTGCTTTTTCTTCAATATCACACTGTCCTGGTTACTATAGCTTTATAAAGTTCTAATTTCAGATAGTGCATATCCTTCAACTTTGTTCTTCTTTTCCAAAAGTATTTTGTATATTCTAATTTCTTTGCTTTTCCATGTAAATTCTAGAATCACCTTGTTGATTTTTATCGAAAATATCTTGTTACAATTTTGATTGGAATTGTTGAAATCTATAGAACAATTTAGGAAAAACTGACATTTTAGCAAATGAGTCTTCCAATCCATTATCACTGCATACAGGCATATATCAGAGATATTGTGGGTTTGGTTCCCAACCACTATAATTAAGTGAATATTGCGATAAAGTGAGTCACATTAAGTTTTTGGTTTCCCAAAAGCAAAAACTGCACATAAAAATTATGTTTATGCTGTACTGTAGTCTATTAAGTGTGCAATAGAATTATGTCTAAAAAATACATTCCATATTTAAAAATACATTATTGCTAAAAAATGCTGATAATCATTTGAGATTTCAGTGAGTTACAATCTTATTGCTGATTTAGAGTCTTGCCTCAATGTTAATGGCTACTGATTGATCAGGATGGTGATTGCTGATGGTTGAGGTAACTGTGGTAATTTCTTAAAATATGACAGTGAAGTTTGTTGCATTGATAATTTTTTTTTCACAGAAGATTTCTCTGCAGCATGTGATGCTGTTTGATAGTATTTTACCCACAGAAGAACTTATTTCAAAATTGGAGTCAATCCTCTCAAACTCTGCAGCTGCTTTATCCAATAAGTTTACAGAATATTCAAAATCTTTTGTTGTCCTTTCAACAATGTTCAAAGCATCTTCCCTAAGAGGAGACTCTATCTCAAGAAACTACTTTCTTTGTTCATCCATAAGAAGCAACTCTGTATCCATTCAAGTTGTATCATGGGATTGCAGCAATTCAGTCACATCTTCAAGCTCCACTTCTAATTCTAGATCCTTTCTATTTCTAACATATCTGCAGTTAACTTCTCCACTGAAGTCTTGAACCCCTGAAAGTCATTCATGAGAGTTAGAATCAACTTCTTCCAAGCCCCTGTAGTTAATGTTGATATTTTGGCCTCCTCACATGAATTGCAAATATTCCTAATGGCACTTAGACTAGTCAATCATTTCCAGAAGGCTTTCAATTTAGTTTGTCCAGATCCACCAGGGGAATCACTATCTATGGCAGCTATAGCCTTACAAAATGCACTTCTTTAATAATAAGACTGGAAAATCTAAATGACTTCTTGATCCAGAATGGATATTGTGTTAGCAGGCATGAAAACAACATTAATCTCCTTGTACATTCCCATTAGAGTTCTTGGGTGACTAGGTGCATTGTCAATGAGCAGTAATATCTCAAAAGAACTATATTTTTCTGAGCAGTAGACTTAAAATGTTCAACAAAGCATGTTGTAAACACATATGCTATCATTCAGGCTTAGGTTTTCCATTTATAGAGCACAAGCAAAGTGGATCTAGTATAATTCTTAAGGGCTGAAAATTCTAGGGAATTTTCACAGTGGTAACTGAGCATCGGCTTCAACTTAAAGTCACCAGCTGTATTAGCCCCTAACAGGAGAGTCAGCTTGTCCTTTGAACCTTTGAAGCCAGGCATTGACTTCTCCTCTCTGGTTATAAAAGTCCTAGTTGACATCTTCTTCTAATAGAAGGCTATATGTCTACATTGAAAATCTCTTGTTTAGTGTAGCCATATTCATTAATGATCTTAGCTAGATCTTCTGGATAACTTGGTGCAGCTTTTACAGCACTTGCTGCCTCACCTTGCACTTTTATGTTATGAAGATGGTTTCTTTCCTTCAGTCTCATGAGGCAACCTCTTCTAGGTTCCAACTTCTCTTTAGCTTCTTCACCTCTCTCAGGCTTCATAGAATTAAAGAGCTTTAGTAGGGCCTTGGCTCTGGATTAGGTTTTTGCTTAAGGGAATGTTGTAGCTGTCTTGGTCTTCTTTCTACGTCACTAAAATTTCTCCATATCAATAATTAGACTGTTTCACTTTCTTATCATTGATGTGTTCCTTTGCATTCACAACTTGGCCTACCTGTTTGGCACAATGTTACCTAAATTTCAGCCTATTTCAGTTTTTAACCTGCCTTTTTCACTAAGTTAAGTCACTTATAGTTTTTGATTTAAAAAAATGAGAAATCTGAGAGAGGGCGGAGCAAGATGGCAAAATAGAAAGCTCCATCAATCATGCCCCTGCAAGGACATCAAGTTAACAACTATCAACACAGAAAAAATACCTTCAAAAGAACCAAAAATTCGGTGAGCACTCGTAGTACCTGGTTTTCACTTTATATCGCTGAAAGAGACACTGAAGAGACTTAACAGTCCCGAATCATCGACACTGCCCCTCTCCCACCCCATGCAGCTATGTGGTACAGAGAGCTCATTTCTGGGTGCTGGGAGAGGGAGAACACAGCAATTGTGAGGCAATGAGCTCCGTGCTGTCCTGTTAGAGCAGCAAGGAAAACCAGACCAAACTCAGCTGATGTCTGCCCATGGAGGGAGCATTGAAAACAGTCCTAGCCAGAGAGGAATCACTGATCTCAGTAGTGGTCCAAACTTGAGCGACTGCAAACCTCACCACTGAGGGCTACAGCACTCTGTGTCTCTAAGTAAACTTGAAGGGCAGTCTACACCATAAGAACCACAACTCTTAGGTGAGTCCTAGTGCTGAACTGGGCTCAGAACAGTGGACTGAGAGGGCACATGACATACTGAGACACCAGCTGGGGCAGCCAAGGGAGTGCCGGCATCTCCCCTCTGCTATCTTCAGGCTGCACAGCTCACAGATCCAAAAGAGACCCCTATCTTTCACTTGAGGAGAGGAGAGAGAAGAGTGGGGAGGACTGTGTCTTATATCCAGGATACCAGCAAAGCCATAGCAGGACAGGGTGCCAGTCAGAGTTGTGAGGCCCGAGGTCCCAGACAAAGTTTCTAGACACACCCTGGGAAAGAAGGGAACCCACTGCGTTGAAGGAAAGGACCCAGTCCTGGCAGCATTCATCAGCTGCTAACTGAAGAGCCTTTGGGCCCTTTCTGCTCTTCCCTACCCTTCCCATAGCCACAACCAGTCCAGACTGCAAGGAGTACTCCCAGACTACTGCAGATGTTCCCTTCAGGCCCAAGTCTCTTAAGTCAGCTCGTCATGATCTTTTCCTGGCCTGGGACTCCCCATTCAGGGTAGTGGGCTCCCCTGTGGCCCAGGGAAGGTCCAGAAATACCATCCAAGAATCAAGTCTCAGAACTGGGGACCCTAAGAGCCTGCTTGTTGCTCTAACCCCCTGTGGCTGGTACCTAAGTTTCAAGACAAAGCCCCCTTTACTTTCCCTCTGCTTTTCTCAAGCAGGAGTTTTGCCCTGTAGCCACAATAGCTGGTAACATGTAGAGTCTCACCTGAAGCCAGCAAGTCTCAGAAATGCTAAAGGGAGTACTTCAGTATGAAAAAAATGACATTAATGAGCAATAAATAATCATCTGAAGGCATTTACAAAACTCACTGGTAATAGTAAGTACACAGAAAAACACAGACTATTATAGCACTGTAACTGTGATGTGTAAGCTAGTCTTATCCTAAGTAGAAAGACTAAATGATGAGCCAATTAAAAATGATAATTATAACAACTTTTCAAGATATAGTAAATACAATAAGATATAAATAGAAATTTAAACAAGTTTAAAAGTAGGGGGATTAAGGCATATAATTTTTATTAGTGTTCTTTTTGGTTATTTGTTTAAACAAACACTGTTAAGTTGTTATCAGATTAAAATAAGGGGTTATAAGATAGGATTTGCAAGCATCACGGTAACCTTAAACCAAAGAAACGTACAATGCATATACAAAAAATAAAAAGCAAGATACTAAATTATATTATATCACTGGAGAAAATTATCTTCACTAGAAAAAGACGGGAATGAAAGAAAGAAGGAAGACTAAATTCTTAAATCAAAAGACATAGACTGGCTGAATGGATGAAAAAACAAAATCCATTGATCTGTTGCCTACAAGAAACACACTTCACCTATAAAGACACTCATAGATTGAAAATAATGAGATGGAAAAAGATAATCCATGCCAATGGAAATCAGAAAAGAGTAGGAGTCACTACACCTATATAAGACTAAATAGAGTTCAAGACAAAAACTATAAGACAAGACAAAGCAGGTCACCATGTAATGATGGCAGGGACAATTCAGCAAGAGGATATAACAATTTTAAATATATGCACCCAACACTGGAGCCCCCCTATATATAAAGGAAATATTATTAGAGAGAGATAGGCCCTGATACAATAAGAGCTGGAGACTTCAACACTCCACTTTGAGCATTAGACAGATCTTCCAGACAGAACATCAGCAAAGAAACATCAGACTTAATCTGCACTCTAGAACAAATAGATCTAATAGATATTTACAGAACATTTCATCCAAGAGCTACGGAATACACATTCTTTTTGTCAGCACATGGATCATTCTCAAGGATAGGCCATATGTTAGGATGCAAGCCAAGTCATAAAACACTCAAAAAAGTTGAAATAATAGCAAGCATCTTCTCTGACCACAATGAAATAAAACTAGAAAGTAATAACAAGGTGAATCTTGGAGACTATACAAACACATAGAAAATAAACAGTATGCTCCTGAATGACCAGTTGGTCAATGAAAACATTAAGAAGAAAATTTACAAATTTCTTGAAACAAATGATAATGGAAAAACAAAATACGAAATGCCTCTGACAAATATGGATGCAAAACGTTTGGAATAAAGAAAAAGTAGTACTCAGAGGGAAGTTTATAGCTATGAATGCCTAAATTGAGAAAAGGAAAAACTTCAAATAAGCAATCTAATGATGCATCTTAAAGAATTAGAAGAGCAAGAGCAAACCAAACCCAAAATTAGCAGAAGAAAAATAATAAAGAGCAGAAATAAATGAAACTGAAATTAAAAAAACCCAAAAGATTAAAAAAAATTAGTTATTTAAAGAGTTAACATTGACAAACGTTTAGCCAAACTAAAAAGAAAAAAGAGAGAGAGAGAGAGAAGATCCCAATAAGTAAAATCAGAAATGAAAAAGGACACATTACAACAGATACTGCAGAAATTCCAAGGATTATTAGTGGCTACTATGAGCAACTATATGTCAATAAATTGAAAAATTAGAAGAAATAGACAAATTCCTAGATACATACAATTACCAAGACTGAATCAGGAAGAAATCCAAACCTGAACAGACCAACAGACCGATAACAACAAGATTGAAAGGTGTAATAAAAAGTATCTCAGTAAAGAAAAGCCCAGAACACAATGGCTTCACTGCTGAATTCAACCAAACATTTAAAGAAGAACTAATACCAAATCCTACTCAAACTATTCTGAAAAATAGAGGAGGAACTACTTTCAAACTCATTCTATGAAACCAGTATTACCCTGATACCAAAAGCAGGCAAAGACACAACAACAACAACAAAAAACTACAGACCAATATCTCTGAGGAATATTGAGGCAAAAATCCTCAACAAAATACTAGCAAGCCAAATTCAACAATACTTTAGAAAGATCATTCATTATGACCAAGTGGGATTTATCCCTGGGATTCAAGGATGATTCAACATACACAAATCAATCAAGGTGATACATCATATCAACAGAATGAAGGATAAAAACTATATGATCATTTCAATTGATGCTGAAAACACATTTGATAAAATTCAACATCCCTTCATTATTTCCTTAAAAAAACTGGGGATAGAAAGAACATACCTCGACATAATAAAAGCCATATACAACAGCCCCAGAGCCAGTATCATACTGAAAGCCTTTCTTCTAAGATCTGGAACATGACAGGGATGTCCATTGTCACCACTGTTATTCAACATAGTGAATAGAAGTCCTAGCTAGAGCAATCAGACAAGAGAAAGATATAAAGGGCATCCAAATTGGATGTGGAAGAAGTCAAATTATCCTTGTTTGAAGGTGATATAATCTTACATTTAGAAAAACCTAAAGACTGCATAAGAAAACTATTAGAACTGATCAACAAATTCAGTAAAGTTGCAGAATACAAAATCAACATACAATCAGTAGCATTTAAATATGCCAACAGTGAGCAATGTGAAAAAGAAATTTAAAAAGTCATTCCATTTAACAATAGCCATACATAAAATTAAATACCTAGGAATTAACCAAAGAAGTGAAAGATCTCTATAATGAAAACTATAAAACACTGATGAAGGAAATTAAAGAGAACACCAAATAAAGGAAAAACATTCCATGTTCATTAATCGGAAGAATCAATATTGTTAAAATGTTCATACTACCCAAAGCAATCTTCAGATTCAATGCAATCCCTATCAAAGTACCAATGACACTCTTCACAGAAATAGCAAAAAACTATCCTAAAATTTATATGGAACCACAAACGATCCAGAATAGCCAAAGCTATCCTAAGCAGAAATAACAAAACTGGAAGAATCACATTACCTGACTTTAAATTATACTACAAAGCTATAGTAACCAGCTGGTATAAAACTACTAGCATAAAAACAGACACTTAGACCAATGCAACAGAGTAGAGAACCCAGAAACAAATTCACGCACCTACAGTGAACTGATTTTTGACAAAGGTACCAAAAAAGGGGACAGTCTGGGGAATGGACAGTCTCTTCAATAAATGGTTCTGGGAAAACTAGATATCCATATGCAAAATAATGAAACTAGACTCATATCTCTTGCCATGTACAAAAATAAAATCAAAATGAATTAAAGACTTAAATTGAAGACCACAAACTATGAAACTCCGATAAGAAAACAATGGGGAAAATCTCCAGGATATTGGTCTGGGCAAAGACTTCTTGAGCAATACCCAACAAGCAAAGGCAATCAAAGCAAACATGGACAAATGGGATCACATCAAGTTAAAAAACTTCTGCACAGCAAAGGACAGAGTCAGCAAAGTGAAGCGACAACCCACAGAGAGGGAAAAAATATTTGCAAACTATGCATCTGACAAGGGATTAATAACCAGAATATATAAGGAGCTCAAACAACTCTAAAAAATCTAATAGTCCTGTCAAAAAATGGGAAAAAGATTTGAAGAGACATTTATCAAAAGAAGACATACAAATGGAAAACAGGCATATAAAAGGTGCTTAGCATTACTGATCATCCAAGAAATGCAAATCAAAACTACAATGAAATATCATCTCACCCCAGTTAATATGGCTTGTATCCAAAAGCAGAGCAATAACAAATGCTGGTGAGGATATGGAGAAAAGGGGAACCCTTGTACACTGTTCATGGGAATGTAAATTAGTACAACCTCTATAGAGAACAGTTTGGAGGTTCCTCAAAAAACTAAAAATAGAGCTATCATATAATCCAGCAATCCCACTGCTGGGTATATACCCAACAGAAAGCAAATCATTATATTGAAGAGATATCTGCACTCCTATGTTTGTTGTAGCACTGTTGACAATAGCTAAGATTTGGAAGCAACGTAAGTGTCCATCAACAGATGAATGGATAACAAAAATGTGGTACATAGACACAATGGAGTACTATTCAGCCATAAAGAAGAATGAGATCCAGTCATTTGCAACAACATGAATGGAATTGGAGGTCATTGTATTAAGTGAAATAAGCCAGGTACAGAAAGACAAACGTTGCATGTTCTTACTTATTCGTGGGATCTAAAAATCAAATCAATTGAACTCATGGACACAGAGAGTAGAAGGGTGATTACCAGAGTCTGGGAATGGTCATAGGGATTTGGTGGGGGATGTGGGCATGGTTTGGGTACAAAAAATAGAAATAATGAATAAGACCTACTATTTAATAGCACAATAGGGTGAAAATAGCCAATAATAATTGTATATTTTAAATTAACTTAAATAATGTAATTATTTTGTTTGTAACTCAAAGGATGAATGCCTGAGGGGATGGGTACCCCATTCTCTGTGATGTGCTTATTTCATATTGCATGCCTTATCAAACCATGTCATGCACCACATAAATATATACACCTACTATGCACCCATAAAAATTAAAAAATTGTAAAAAATAAAATAAAGTAAGAGATCTGGGATTCTTTTTTTCACTTGGACAATTTAGAGGCCCCTCTCAGGTTATTATTTGGCCTAATTTCAATATGTTTTGTCTCAAGCAATAGGGAAGCCTGAAGAGAGGGAGAGGGATGGGGCAATGGCTGGTCGATGGAGCAGTCAGAACACACACAACCATTTATCAATTAAGTTCACCATCTTATAGGGATGCAGTGAGTGGCACCCTAAAACAGTGACAAAAGTAGCAACAGAAATCGCTGACTACATATTGCTATAATACACAATAATAATGAAAGAATTAAAATATTGCAAGAATTACCAAAATTTAACACAAAGACCTGAAGTGAGCAGATGCTACTGGAAAATTGGCACCTATAGACTTGCTTGAGGATTTGTAAATTTGTAAAAAATGCAGTATCTGCAAAGAAGTGCCATTGAACAAAACATAATAAGATGATATGTGTTTGTATCTATGTGTTTAATTAGACCTTTGATTTTTGTAGTTTTCAGTATGCAGCCTTTGCACATATTTAATAAGATTTATTTCTAAACATTTCATGTTTTGGTGCTTTTGTAAATTTTACTCTTTAAAAAATTTTTATTTCCACATATTCACTGCTATTATATAGAAATGTACCTGATTTTTATATATTGATGTTATATTCTGTGATCTTGCTGGACTCAGTTCTAGGTATCTTTTTTTAAAAGAAGATTCTTGGAATTTTCTGCATAGGTAATCATGTTATCTGTGCAGAGAGTTAATTTAATTTCCCCTTTTCCAATCTGTATACCTTATATTTGTTTTCCTTGCCTGATTGTACTTACCAAAATCCATAGTATGATATCAAATAGAAGAGATGAGAGCAGACGTTCTTGCCCTATTCCACATTTTAAGGGGAAAGTTTCAGCCTTTCACCATTAAGTATGTTAGTTGTAGGTTTACTGTAGATTCTCTTTATCAAGTTGGGGAAGTTTCCCCTCTTTTCCTTTTTTTTTTCTGGGAGTTTTTATCATGATGAGGTGTTAGATTTTGTCTAATGCTTTTTCTGTACCAATTGATATGATTACACGGTTTTCCTTCTTTTACTTATAAATATGATGTATTATATTGGTTGAATTTTTAATTTTGACCCAGCCTTTTATTCTCAGGATAAACCTACCTTTAATGGACATTCAGGATTTTATTTCCTTTTGAGCTATTTTTATTAAATTATTCTCTCGTATTTTTGACATTACTTACATTTAAAAATCTGTTTTTTATGATGTTCTTTTTACCTTTAATCTTTACCATATTTGTAATTCAGTTGTCTTTTCATTCCTAATATTTTTTTCTCTCTTTTTTCCTTGGTAAATGCTGTCAAATGGTTGTTTTATTTTCTATTTTATTAGTCTTGAAAGACGCACCTTGCTATTTTATTTATTTCTCCTTTTATTTCTACTCCTTCCTTCTAATTCTTTGCCCATTTATTTTGACTATTTTTATTTTCCAATATAAATATTAAAATTATAAATTTCCCTCTTAGTACTGGTTTAGCTACGTATATGAATGTAGACATGTAGTACTGTAATTATTCAATTATAAGTATTTTCTCATTTTCATTGTGATTTCTTACTTGGAGGAATGTTTTTAAGTTCTTAACATATTGACTTTATAAAATAAAAGCTTTCAATTATTGGCATCTGACTTAATTTCATTTTATTTAATGCAGTGGTCCTTAAAGTATGGTTCCAGAACTAGCAGCGACAAGATTACCTGGTGTGAATTGAATTATGTTCCCCCAAAATATATGCTGGAGTCCTAACCTCAGGTACCTGTGAATGCATGTGACCTTATTTGGAAACTGGTCTTTAGTACAATCAAATTAAGATGATGCCATACTGGATTAGGATAGGCCCTAATTCAATATGACTAATATAATTATAAGAAGAGAAGAGACACAGAGGCACACAAGGAAAATACCGTGTGATGATAGAGGCAGAGACTGGAGTAATTGGAATTTTGTTTTCTTTTTTTCTGAGAGTTTCACTTTGTTGCTCAGACTGGAGTGGAGTGGCATAATCACAGCTCCCTACAGCCTTGACATCCTAGCTCAAGCAATTCTCTCATCTCAGCCTCCTGAGCAGCTGGAACCACAGGTGCAGAGAACTACGCTCAACTAATTTTTGTATTTTTTGTAGAGACAGGGTTTTGCCATGTTGCCCAGGCTGGTCTCCAGCTCCTGGACTCAAGAGATCTGCCCACCTCTACTTCCCAAAGTGCTGGTATTATAGGGATTAACCACCACGCCCAGCTTACTGATGTGCTAAAAAGCCAACGCATGCCAAGGATTGCTGGCAATACCAGAAGCTAAGAGAAGGGCATCGAGCAGACTCCCCTATAACCTTTAGACAGAGCATTGCCAACACCTTGATTTCAAACGTCTAACCTCCAGAATGTGAGAAAATATATTTCTGTTGTTTTCTGTGTCTGTTGTTTTCAGCCACCCAGTTTGTGATATTTTGTTAAGGGCAGTCCTAGGGAACCAATACAATAGAAAACCTGTTAAAAATGCAAATTCTTGGCCTCAATTCCAGACCTACCGTATCAGAATCTTTGTGGATGGGGTGGAGTAATTTGGATTTTAACACAAGTCTTTCCTGTTATTTTAATGAATGCTAATTTGAGAACCACTGAGTTAGAGAATGTGGTCAACGGGATACTAGTCCTTTGAAATTTATTAAGATTTAATTTGCAGTATAATACAGGGTTAATTTTTGCAAATGTTTCATATATGTCTAAAATGTGCATTTTGCAGTTGCTCAGTGCAGAATTCTGTATACGCCCATTAAATCAAGCTTGTTAATTGTGTTATTCAAATCTTCTGTATCATTAACAATATTTTTGGTTCTGTTTATCAATCACAGAGATACATTCAAATCTTCTACTATGATAATAGAATTATGTATTTGTTCTTGTAGTTCTGCCAGTTTTAAATATAGTTCTACAAATATACACATAACATATAATGTTATTAGGTACATGCATATTTAGAATTCTTTCTTCCTATGGCATTTATCTGGACAAGGTGAAAGTAAATTTTTGATTTGGGGTGTTAGGTCACATACACAGCATGAACTCCATTTTTAAGTCTACCTAAATGTAGGCTTATGATTAGGAATACACAAGAAAATATCCCTTCGTTCCTTCCTTCCTTCCCTCCTTCCTTCTCTCCTTTACTCATTTCTTTCTATTCTTGCTGAGACAGTAAATCGTTCCATTAATTTTTTTCACCTGTGTCTGTGCAAGGATTCCCACCAAACAGGCTTTGTGTGAGCAACAAGGCTGTTTATTTCACCTGGGTACAGGCGGGCCGAGTCCGAAAAGAGAGTCAGGGAAGGGAGATAGGGGTGGGGCCATTTTATAGGATTTGGGTAGGTAAAGGAAAATTACAGTCAAAGGGGGGAGTTGTTCTCTGGCTGGCAGGGGTGGGGGTCAGAAGGTGCTCAGTAGGGGAGCTTCTGAGCCAGGATGAGCCAGGAAAAGGAATTTCACAAGGTAATGTCATCAGTTAAGGCAGGAACAGGCCTTTTCACTTCTTTTGTGGTGGAATGTCATCAGTTAAGGCAGGAACTGGCCACCTGGATGTGTATGTGCAGGTCACAGGGGATATGATGGCTTAGCTTGGGCTCAGAGGCCTGACATTCCTGTCTTCTTATATTAATAAGAAAAATAAAACAAAATAGTGTTGAAGTGTTGAGGCGGCAAAAATTTTTTGGGGGTGGTGTGGAGAGAGAATGGGCGATGTTTCTCAGGGCTGCTTCAAGTGGGATCAGGGGCGGGTGGGAACCTAGAGTGGGAGAGATTAAGCTGAAGGAAGATTTTGTGGTAAGGGGTGATGTCGTGGGGTTGTTAGAAGAAACATTTGTCGTATAGAATGATTGGTGATGGCCTGGATACGGTTTTGTATGAATTGAAAAACTAAATGGAATAAGACAAGGAGAAAAACAGGTATTAAAGGACTAAGAATTGGGAGGACCTAGGACATCTAATTAGAGAGTGCCTAAGGAGGTTCAGCATAGCCCTGCCAGCAAAGATTATTTATTTACTTTAAGAGGGAGTTAAGAGTGGTGGTTTGGGGATAGCACCAAGAGATATCAGCTGTGATGGCTTGGAGAAACAGTGAAAACCGGCAGTGTAAACAAGAGCAGGGCATTTATGAGTAGTTGAGAAAAGTGAATAGGAGTGTGACTAGACAGAAGATAGTAGGGATGACAAGTTTTTTGGGGTGCAGTTCAAGTTGGTCTGGCATCTGGAATGAAGCTGGGGCCTAATAAAAAGAAGCATCTATACAGGAGCTTAAATGGACTTTACCTTGTAGCATTCCGAGGACAGGCCTGAATTATGAGAAAGGAAAGAGGTAAAAGTACTGTCCAGTCCTTTTTAAGTTGGAGGCTGAGCTTGGCGAGGTGTGTCTTTAAAAGACCATTAGTCCGTTCTACCTTTCCTGAAGATTGAAGACGGTAAGGGATATGAATGTTCCACTGAATACCAAGAGCCTGAGAAACTGCTTGGGTGATTTGACTAGTAAAGGCCGGTCTGTTATCGGACTGTATAGAGATGGGAAGTCCAAACCGAGGAATTATGTCTGACAGAAGGGAAGAAATGACTGTGGTGGCCTTCTCAGACCCTGTGGGAAAGGCCTCTACCCATCCAGTGAAAGTGTCTACCCAGACCAAGAGGTATTTTAGTTTCCTGACTCGAGGCATGTGAGTAAAGTCAATTTGCCAGTCCGGGGGTGGGCGGGCGCGGCGGAAAATCTCCAAGCTTGATGTGTAGGGGAGGGAGGAGGCCTGAATAATCCCTGAGGAGTAGTAGAATAGCAGATGGAACACTGAGAAGTGATTTCCTTGAGGATAGATTTCTATGATGGAAAGGAAATGAGAGGTTCTAAGAGAGGGCTAGTGGCTTGTAACTTACATGGAAGAGGTTATGAAATGACGACAGAATAGAATGGGCCTGTGAGGCTGGAAGGAGATATTTTCCTTGGTCTAAGAGCCATTTGCCTTGTGTGGGAAGAGATTGATAGGTGGAAGTTTCAGCAGGGGAGTAGGTGGGAGTAGCCAGATGAGAAGGAGAAAAACTGAAAGTGAGGGATATAAGTTGGAACGCTAGCTGGTTTTTTAGCTATCTTATCAGCATAAGCATTGTCCTGAGCGATGGGATCTGATACCCTTTGATGGCCTTTGCAGTGAATGACTCTGTCTTCCTTTGGAAGTAAAGTGGCTTTGAGAAGCATTTTTATTAAAGAGGCATTAATGATAGAGGACCTTTGTGTAGTGAGGAAACCTCTTGCATGGTGGTGCAGGATATGGAAGGCATATTTAGAGTCAGTATAAATACTGATGTGTAGTCCTTTTGCAAGAGTGAGGGCTTGACTTAAGGCAATGAGTTCGGCTTGCTGAGAGGTAGTGGAGGGGGGCAGAGCAGTAGCCTTAATGATAGATGTGGAAAATACTATAGCATAGCCTGCCTTTGCTGGTGAGTAGCGATTAGGCCTGGTGGAACTGCCATCAATAAACCAAGTGTGTTCAGGGTTAGGAACACATAAGAATATGGGGAAGTGGAGTGAATGTCAGGTGGATCAGAGAGATACAGTCATGAGGGTCAGGTGTGATATCAGGAATAATGTGGGAGGCCGGACTGAAGTCTGGGCCAGGAACAATGGTAATTGTGGGAGACTCAACAAAGACTGAGTACAGCTGAAGGAGCCAGGGAGCAGAAAGTATATGTCAGGTGTGAGGAAGAAAATAGATTTTGGAAGTTATGAGAGCTGCAGAGAGTGAGTTCAGCATAGTTTGTGATTTTAAGGGCCTCTAAAAGTATTAGGGTGGTGGCAGCCACCGCACACAGACTTGAGGGCTAGGCAAAACAGTAAGGTCAAGTTGTTTGGATAAAAAGGCTACAGGGCATGGTACCAGTCCTTGTGTAAGAATTCTGACTGCACAGCCCTGCACTTTGGCTGTGTGTGATGAAAAGGGTTGGGATGAGTCAGGGAGAGCTAGGGTGGGGGCAGTCTCTAAAGCTGTCTTCAAGGAACAGAAAGAGGAATGGGGAAAGGATTTAGGATCTATGGGGTCAGCTAGGTTTCCTTTTGTGAGTTTATATAATGGTTTTGTTAGGATGGCAAAACCAGGTATCTAAAGTCGAAAGTATCCAACCATGCCTAGGAAGGAAAGGAATTGTTATTTTGTAGAAGATGTTGGGGTTTGAGAGATCAGTCGGACATGATCGGCAGGGAGAGCATGTGTGTTTTTATGAGACTTATGCCGAGATAGGTAACAGATGGGGAAGAAATTTGTGCTTGACTGAAGTAAAGGGAGCTGTCTGTGAAGCCTTGTGGCAGTACAGCCTAGGTAATTTGCTGAGCGTAATGGGTGTCAGGGTCAGTCCAAGTGAAAGCCAAGAGAGGCTGGGATGAAGGGTGCAAAGGAATAGTAAAGAAAGCATGTTTGAGATCCAGAACAGAATAATTCATTGTGGAGGGAGGTATTGAGGATAGGAGAGTATATGGGTTTGGTCCTATGGGGTAGATGATAGGCAAAACAATTTGGTTGATAAGGCGCAGATCCTGAACTAACCTGTAAGTCTTGTCTGGTTTTAGGACAGGTAAAATGGGGGAATTGTAAGGATAGTTTATGCTTTAAAAGGCTATGCTGTAGCAGGCGAGTGATAACAGGCTTTAATCCTTTTAAAGCATGCTGTGGGATGGGATATTGGCATTGAGGAGGGGAAGGGTGATTAGGTTTTAATGAGATGGTAAGGGGTGCATGATCGGTTGCCAAGGAGGGAGTAGAGGTATCCTATACTTGTGGGCTAAGGTGGGGAGATACAAGATGAGGATGTGAAGGAGGCTTTGAACTGGGGGTAAAGGCAGCAGTGAGGTGTAGCTGTAGCCCAGGACTAGTCAGGGAAGCAGATAATTTAGTTAAAATATCTCGTCCTAATAAGGGAACTGGGCAGGTGGTGATAACTAAAAGGAGTGCTTAAAAGAGTATTGTCAAAGTTGGCACCAGAGTTGGGGAGTTTTAAGAGGTTTAAAAGCCTGGCCATCAATACCCACAACAGTTATGAAGGCAAAGGAAACAGGCCCTTGAAAAGAAGATAATGTGGAGTGGGTAGCCTTCGTATTGATTAAGAAGGGGACGGACTTACCCTCCACTGTGAGAGTTACCTAAAGCGTCTGTGATGGTCCAGGAAGCTTCTGAGGCAATTGGTCAGTGAGCCTTGGGCCAGAGTTCCATGGGCTCTGAGAGTGGCTGCCGGGCGAGTTGGACAGTCCGATTTCCAGTGGGGTCCTGCACAGATGGGACACAGCTTAGGAGGAATCCCAGGTTGCGGGCATTCCTTGGCCCGGTGGCCAGATTACTGGCACTTGTAGCAAGCTCCTGGGGGAGGAGGTTCTGGAGGAATCCCTGGCAGCTGCGGTTCAGGCGTTTGGAAGTTCTTGTGTGCTGGAGATGTGGCTGGGGTTTGTCTCACAGTGGAGGCAAGGAATTGCAACTCAGAAATATGTTGCTACTTAGCTGCCCCTACTCTATTATTGTACACCTTGAAGGTGAGGTTAATTAAGTCCTGTTGTGGGGTTTGAGGGACGGAATTTAATTTTTGGAGCTTTATTTAATGTTGGGAGCAGATTGGGTAATAAAATGTATATTGGGAATAAGACGGCCTTTTGACCTTCTAGGGTCTAGCGCTGTAAAGCGTCTCAGGGTTGCTGCCAAACGGGCCATGAACTGGGCTGGGTTTTTCATATTTGATGAAAAAGAGCCTAAAAGCTAACTGATTTGGGAGAGGTCGGATAAAGAAAAAGGAGCATTAACCTTGACTATGCCTTTAGCTCCAGCTACCTTTTTAAGAGGAAATTGCTGGGCAGGTGGGTGAGGGCTGTCTCGGAACGAAACTGTAAGCTAGACCGGGTGTGAGAAGGGGAGGTGATAAAAGGATTATAGGATTGGGGAGCAGAGGCTGAAGAAGAATTGGGACCTGGCTTGGCCTGGCGAGGGGCAGCCTAGAGAGAAGGGGAGAGGTCAGATGGGTTTGTAGAAAAGGAGGATTAGAAAGACTCAGGGACACTTGGGGTTGGGACTGAGAGGACAGGCGGGAGGGAAAGGAGGAGGATTTGGGATGAGTCGCATTGGGAACAGAGACTAGGGAGGGAATAATGTGTCAAAGAATGCCTGGACATCAGGCACCTCCGACCATTTGCCTATTTTACAACAAGAATTATCTAGATCTTGTAGGATGGAAAAATCAAAAGTGCCATTTTCTGGCTATTTGGAACCACTGTCAAGTTTGTATTGGGTTCAAGCGGCATTGTAGAAGAAAATAAGGCATTTAGGTTTTAGGTCAGGTTGAGTTGCAGAGGTTTTAAGTTCTTGAGAACACAGGGAGAAGGAGGAATGGAGGGTGGAAGGCTGCCCATAGTGAAGAAGGCAAGCCCAGAGAAAAGAGAGAGACATGGAGAGAAGGGGTTGGGGGTGCTTGCCCCCAGGAAAGTGGAGAAGGGGTAGAGACATGGAGAGAAGGAGTCAGGAGGTTCTTTCCTCCTGGAAAAGCAGATAAGGGGTAGAGACATTGAGAGAAGGGGAAGGGGGTGCTTGCCCTCCAGGAAAGTGGAGAAGGAGTAGAGACACGGAGAGATGGGGTCGGGGAATTCTTGCCCCTCCGAAAAGCAGTACTTGCCGCTAAGGGTGAAGGACCAAGGCAGGCGTCCCAGAGTGGTCAAACACCTCTGAAACGTGGGTGAATAATTAGGCAGGTGTCCCTGCATGATTAAACACCAAGGGAAGACTGTCTTCCCGAGTCTGTGACCAGTGCCGGAGTTTTGGTTTCATGGATAAAACACATCTCCTTTGTCTCTACCAGAAAAGGAAAGGAACTGAAATTAAGAGAAGGAAGAGATTGACGTGTGTCACCAAGATTGAAAGGAGAAAGAGGTTGAGGGATAGTGAGACAGACTGGAGAAGAGAGTAAAGAGAGGCCGCTTACCGGATTTAAAATTGGTGAGATGTTCCTTGGGCTGGTTGGTCTGAGGACCAGAGGTTGTAGGTGGATCTTTCTCATGGAACAAAGAGCAGGAGAACAGGGGATTGATCTCCCAAGGGAGGTCCCCCAGTCCGAGTCATGGCACCAAATTTCACATGCATCTGTGTGAAGAGACCACCAAACAGGCTTTGTGTGAGCAACAAGGCTGTTTATTTCACCTAGGTGCAGGCAGGCTGAGTCCGAAAAGAGAGTCAGGGAAGGGAGATAGGGGTGGGGCCATTTTATAGGATTTGGGTAGGTAAAGGAAAATTACAGTCAGAGAGGGGGGTTGTTCTCTGGCTGGCAGGGGTTGGGGGGGGTCACAAGGTGCTCAGTGGGGGAGCTTTTGAGCCAGGATGAGCCAGGAAAAGGAATTTCACAAGGTAATGTCATCAGTTAAGGCAGGAACAGGACATTTTCACTTGTTTTGTTGTGGAATGTCATCAGTTAAGGCAGGAACCGACCATCTGGATGTGTACGTGCAGGTCACAGGGGATATGATGGTTTAGCTTTGGTTCAGAGGCCTGACAATTTTATTTGCAAGGTACCTTTATATTTGAATCAGTCTCTGGAAATGGTATCCTTTAGGTAACGCAGAAGTCTCTTGTCTACCTCTGATCCCTCCTAGCACCCCAGGCTTTGTCTCTTGACTGTAGCATCTGTGGCCTAGTAGAACACAATCTCTGGACACAGTAGCAAGTACCCAGGAAAATGTAAATTCAAGTGCTCACCTACCTCAGTGGATTTGTCTTTACTCCTCTTTTCTAGTTTCTGAATAATTAATTCCCTTAATTTCCTACAAGTTCAGCTATGCATTAAAGTGATATTTTTCTATTTTATACAGCATTTCTAGGTGTGCTATACCAGGAATACTTTCCCTGAAAGCCCACCCTGCCATTTTGCATAAATTAGAAATCTACTTTGCCTTCCTCACTCAACACTAGGTAGGGTACATTTTTGTTGCGTGCCATTTAACATTCTGCTAAAAATTATTTTAGTTTCTGCATTATATTGTATTGGATGGATGTACCATTATTTTGTTAGAGATATAAGGGTTTTTTCCAATTTTTCCATGTATATTTATTTTTATGCATACCTTTTTATGTGCATCTCTGGGTTCTTTAGGATTATTCCTATAAATAGAATTCCTAAGTCAAGGAGCATTAACTTTTTAATGGTCCTGTGTTCTGCTGTCACATTGCTTTACCAAAAAATGATGCCAATTAATAGTCCTGGTAGTGGTGTGTGATAGTATTTCATTTTAACTTTCTTAACATCAATATTTTTTATTTTTGTTAATAGGTAAGAAATTTTTCTGTTGTTTACATTTGTGTTCCCTAAATTACAAGTGTTAATTTATATTTCTTCTACTGTGATGTGTTTGTTTGTGTTTTTTTTTTCCAGTTTCCTTGTTTTGACATTGATTTTTCCGTGAGTGGACAGCCTGCTATGCTTGAGTCCTTTAGGTTAACAGAGTGAATGGTGGTCCTTAAGTCAATGTTTGAGCTAAATCTCAGGGCTATCACAGGAATACCTTCAGGGTCCTTAAATATCTCTCAAGCCCCTGCATATGGCAGAAACCGTGCTGACTTCTTTTTGACTTAATATCATTGCAGTAACTGAGTGAAAAAACTGAGGTTCTACTACCATTATATTACCACTGAAGAAAATGAGGCTTAGAGTCCATAAATAACATGTTCAAGTAATTGAATGGGGATTTTGAAATCATATCTTCCTACTTAAGAGATTCCTACTTTTGATAGTCTTGAGCAGACAATTTTCCCTCTGTCTCCACAGATCAAGTAGTTGAAGTTTTGTTAGCTATGGAGTCTATATATTTGAGACTCAGGAGAGGAGTTGCAAAATGGGACAAAAAGGAAGCAAGTAAGTAGTTGCTGCAGAGTGTAAAACTTTTACATGGAATTTGCTCTTATGCTCTATAAGTAATGATAGGAAAATGAGCCCCATAGGAGATGACACCACTGTGTATGGCCATGCAGGTTGTACATACTTGAGGGGGAGCCATCCACATCCAGTATGGTGTGAATGGCATCTTTGGGAATTGTGCAGAGCTACACTGGCATAATCAGATCCAGTAACTTCTTCATATTGATTTAATTTTTATAATCACAAGTAGTTTTCAGACACAGGTCAGTATAAACTAGAAATAGAATAAATGATGTCAGAATGAAAACCTTCTGAACTTGCTTTGTTTTTAATCATCAAAACAATTAATACAATAATGTAATGCATCAAGGGTCATTGTCCCAGAAAGCATGAAATAATATTAAGGACAAGAAATTTAAAGCAAGATTGTACCTATAAAAATACAGGTACAACACTCTATGTTGGTGTGTATAAAGACCTCTCATGCACCAAAAAAGAGTAAGACATTTTATTGCAAATGCCGGGCAAATACAGTACAGACTCCCTAGCATTTTTAACACAGGTAACAGAGTTACCTGGTGAGCCAGTGAATAGTAAAATACTCAAACGGATAAATGGGAAAGTGGCCATGGGGTTAGACATGAACATTTTATAGGAAGAAGGGATTTTAGAAAGTGCCCTGTCCTGTATTTGGCAGCTGTGATTACTTAGTCAAAGTTACTCAGCATGAATGTAGGGGAAGAAATAGAGGTTTCTGCAGACGACCCTAATTGAGATTACCGGCTGAGGTTCTCTTAGGTTGCTGAAAATAGGAGACAGGATTATCCAGGTATCATCGTGTTTGGCTTTCAGTTAACCTGCTTTGCTCCCACTTCACCTGAATTTCTAAATATCTCCATAGTCAGTGTTTTACACACCTCAGTCAATAGGTTTTAGGTTGCCATTTCTTTTCAGGGAAGAAATGTATTATAGTACTAGAAAGAACACTATATTCAGAGCCAGAAGATTAGAGTTGAGCTCTTTCATGAGCAAACCAGCTGTTTCTTCATCTGTAGCATTTAGGCTTTGAATTAATTGATGACTAATACGATTTTCTTGTTTAAAACACTATATCTATACATACTTTTTAAATGAGTATTCTCTTGAATTGTGACTTGTGTGAATTTTTTAAAGAAATATCAAAAAGGCTTTTACATAAGCTCAAAGTAGAAAAATCAGCACACACACAAATGTATACATACTTATTTCTGATGTTATCCCTAAACATTCTTTTACATATCCTGTAAATGGCTATTACATTTGGAATAGTAAATGAAATGGTTTCTTATCTAAGCCAAAGAGCTAAAGGCTGTGTCTTGCACATACAGAGCAATTTCATAATCAGAGGTCTTTATCAGGACTGGCAAAACTGGTACAGAAAATGCAAGAAATTTCCTTTTCTTTGGAATAAGCTTAGATAATTACCTCCTGCTAAAGTGCTAAAGCAATTATTTTCTTGCTCATGCAAACACGGATTGTTCAAGGTTTGTTCCTGTCTTAGAGTTACAGAAAAAGCAAATTAATGGGCAATTCTGATACTATTGAACAAATTCAGGGGCTATCCCTGAGGATGCGGTCTGAAGCCTTCATTATTACATTTGGGATCTTCACTAGTGTGTGCATGTCCCATAGAGCCTCTGGATGCAGTTTTGCAAATTTCAGGTATAGCTGTAGTTTGTCAAATAGCTATTAGTTTCTATTTAGAAGCAAGCTGAGTTTAACTTTACATTCTTTTTGCTTATTTTTCCTCCACTAGCTCTGGCAACCTCGTTTGGGGCTATACTGACTAAACTTTTGAAATAATATTTCCTAGAACAGCAAATACAGGATTTGAATTTTTCAAAAGAAAGTTCAGGAAGCAAACAAAAATAAAAATGGACATGTTTTAGCATTGATTTCTGAATATTACTTAAAGGTCACACTTTCTCCCTTTCCTCTGCCTCAAAGTAATTTGAGATAAACTTCCTGGATATCTATTCTGAGTTAGATTTGGATAGGTAGGGCTTCTAGGTCTGGGGAAATTATGTCAGATCCTTCTTTACAATTCTACTTCTGGGTCTGCCTCTCCTACTCCAAGGAACGTATCTACATGTACACCTTCTTTGAAAGCATCCTAGGCCTGGCCTGTTGGTCCTGTACTGTCCCCTGTCATGTTTCCTTCACTGGATTTTAGGTAGTGAACAGTGCTGTGCTTGTAAACTAGCTCTCAAAAACAAAAAATAATACTGATATGTAGCCTTTGTGAACTTCCATGTATAAATACTCCTACTCTGGTCATTTTCACTTTCAAGTTATCAACATGAGGTCACTGTAGATGGAGGTGGGAAGAGAGGTACACAGTCAGCTCTCAGAAACTAGTAAGAGCTGGTTCCAGCACATCATATGTATCCTTCTTGGCAGAAACCTCTGGCTTCAGTCTTAGATGTCTCTATCCACTGCCCCTAATCTATTTCTGTTTGTCTTTAATTTTATGAATTATATTTATAAGTGTACTGAATCCTCTTTTGGTTGGCTATTTAGTTCCAAGTCAGATTCTACAGTTGGCATAGTCACTAGGTTCCTCTGATTATGGACACCAGCTTTCTCATGTGCCTGTTTATATCACATCAGCTGTAGTCACCAGCATAATGTAGGCCTGGTATTCCTTCTTGTTCCTAAGCACATGGCTATCTGCTAAATTTTTACGTTATATCTCAGAAAAGCCACCTGTTTTAAGCTCACTCTCAGGACAGACAATAGACAGATCCTGATCTTCATCCATGCTGAGGCCTTGATCCATTCAGAATATAAACTTCATCCATTTATTTGATGACTGAATCCTTCAGGAGCTGAAGGGCAAGGGAGGTTGTATTAATCAGTGCTCTCCAGATAAATAGAACCAACCAAAGACTAGATATACAGAGTAGATCAATAGATAGACAGATAGAAATAGATACATTTATTATAAGAAATTGGCTTATGTGACTATGGAGGCTAAGGTCCGCAGTCTGAAAGCATGAGAACCAGGAGAGTCAATGACATATATTTCAGTTCCAGTCTAAAGGCAGTAGAAAACTGATGCTCAAAGGCACGCAAGCAGAGAGGAAATTCTTTCTTTCTCAGCAATTTTTTTTCTTTTTCTATTCAGGCCTTCAACAGATTGAATGAGGCCAGCCCACCTTTGGCAGGGCAATCTACTTTAATCAGTCTACTGGTTCAAATGTTAATCTTATCCAGAAACATCCTCACAGACACACCCAGAATAATGTTTAACCAAATATCTGGGCATTCCATGTCCCAGTCAAGTTGACACATAAAATTAATAATCACAGAGTGTGATCTTGAGAATCTCATGCTTGTGATTTTACAGTATTAAAATTATATTGAGCATTATGAAAACATAACAGATGTCATATAGATGGATGTTTTACTTTTGCCATGCTAGAGGAGTGGAGTGAGAGCTCTTGTGGAGAACAGGTTCAGATTTTGACCCCACAAAAACAGTTGTCTTCAAGCGTAAATAGGTTTAATGTGTTCCGATGTATGTGTATTACTTTATATTGATTGTTTTCAGATATGTCTTTACACTGATGAGTATCAGGTGTGCCACACATAGCCTATCACTGGGATATAGACTTCCATATAGTACTGAGGGGGACTCATTCGGGTCCCCAGGGGCTTTTCTGTTTCCATGGATATGTAGACATCTTCAGCTACTAACTCTCTTTTTCACATCCTCTTGCTGCAGGTCCATACCCATATCCTTATTCCTGGGTTAGCCATTCATTTGCTTCACATTATATTGAATGCATTCAATTAAGTAGATATTAAGATGACTTTTAGGCTTTCTGAGGAAGGATCAATAGCCGTCTCCTACCCAACCAAGCTTAGCTGCATTTTGTCAATGGCATATTGAAAAAAAATAATTACACTGTTTTTTACTGTCTACAACCTTCAGGTAGTGGATAGAATGCTGGGCTTGTAGCTAACAGCAGCAGCAACAATAACAAAAGTGGCACCCTTCTCAGTTTCACTATCCCATCACCATGTGGTCTTGTTCAGGCCACTGAACTCTGAACCTTGTTCTCTCAATAGAAAATGAGGAGGCTGAGCTTGAACTTGGAGAGCTAAGCACTTTCTTGTTGCATCTCTGAATGGAAGCTTGCATAGCAGGGCTTTTCAGGTAAAGATGAAACAGGGGTGGGAGTGGGTAGGATGTGGCTGGTTAGAAAGTAGAAAGTGATTTTTGAGATGATACTTCCTGACAGTCACCCACACAGATAGGATTGCCAGATTTAACACATAAAATTATAGAATGACCATTTAAATTTGAATTTTAGATAAACAATGAATAATCTTTAGTATAAGTATGTCCCAAGCAATATCAGAGACACATTTATATCAAAACTATACATTATTTACCTGAAATTCATATTTAACTTAGTATCCTGTACTTTATCTGGCAACCCTAAATAACAGTAGATAACCTATTCTATCTCAACAGGTTGAGCTGAGCAAGTAGGGCATCTTAGTGAAAAATAGAACATCAGTTTATAAAGACAGAGGCTGGGTAGTTTGCTACCCATGCAGCATGGGATAAAAAAGGTGTTAGTTTTTCTTTTTTTGCACAGGTTGCAATATCACTTCTATGATTTAAAAAATTGTGTGACATTTTAATACTGACATAAGAAGTCATCAGGTGAATCCTTGAATAGACCTGAAGATGCTACATAGAGTTATAGATATAAAAGTTAGGTTACCAGAAGAAGAAAAAGAAGAAAGAGAAGCCTGTGAGGCTTTTTATTTAAGACAGAAAAATGCTAAAATTGTGTCTGGCTTAGGAGTGGAGTTGAATAACTTTGTAGTTTGTGTATTAAAATGGATAAATAAAACTAATAGAAGAATTTTAAAGTTTTAGTAGTAATAAGTGTGACATTTAATTAGGGTGCTGTTCTCAGTATGTTTTAATCTTCAGCTGCTTGAAAAAATGATGGTCATGCACCATTTAGTAGGTGAAGCCTATGAACTAGAGAACATAAGCCATATACTGGTGTATTGCAACTGCTGACATTTCCCTCGTCAACCCATGGGTCCAGTGGGCCTTATTACTGATGGCAAGGAAGAGATGCCTAAACTCTTGACTTGCCTGGGTACAAAAGTACAACTTACTTGCCTGGGTAATGCACATCCAGGGTCCATATACACCTGTCTGCCCCATATGCTGAGAGATTATCACATATTTTAATTCTCTCATTTTGAATGAATATTCTCACTTATCTAAGGAGGACACACATGTTCCCTTCTCTTCCACATTTCTTTGAAAATGAACCATGCATAATGTATAAACTCTTGGATAACAAATACCTGTTTGTGGGATGACTGCGTTTTCATTCATTTGAAACTGTTTACTTAGCACTTACTTCAGCCTTGTCATGATGCTAGTGAAAGGAAAAAAAAATTCAACTTAATACAATCTCATGATGCAGTATATATGTTAATTAAGAGAGAAAGCACAGGGCACTGAAGGACTACTGTGGAGAGCAACCAACCTACGGCGGGGGATGCAGCAGAAAGGTTTCCTGTGGTGGCAATCTCTGAATTAAGACTGGGGAAATAGTTGGAGAATTACACAGAGGAAGAGGGCAGGCTGAGTAGGCAGACACTAGCATTCTAGATAGAGTTATCAACATGTGCTAAGGTTTGAGAAGAAAGAGAACACAGCACTTACAGGGGATTTCAAGGAGTTCAACTACCTGGGATAGTGGGCAAAAAAAGCCAGCAGTGGCAAGGGATGAGAAGCAGGGGGAATAGACTGTGATGGAATTGAATGTCATGCTCAGGAGGTTAGAAATTCCTGCGTATGGTAGGAAGATATTGGAGTACTTACAAAGATTTGTGTTTTAAAATGATCACTCTGGGCCAGGCGGGGTGGCTCACGGCTGTAATCCCAGCACTTTGGGAGGCTGAGGCAGGTGGATCACGAGGTCAGATGTTCAAGACCAGCCTGGCCAACATTGTGAAACCCCGTCTCTACTAAAAATACAAAAAATTAGCCAGGCATGGTGGCAGGCGCCTATAATCCTAGCTACTCAGAGGCCGAGGCAGGAGAATTGCTTGAACCTGGGTGGTGGAGGTTGCAGTGAGCCGAGATCACACCACTGCACACCAGACTGGATGACAGTGCGAGACTCCATATCAAAAAAAAAAAAAAAAAAAGATAACTCTGGCTGCAGTGTTCAGTATGGAAGGAGGGCCACATTGGAGGCAGGGAGACAAGCTTAAAAGCTGTGCCAATAATCTAGGAGAGTGATTATGGTTGCACGAATTTGGCAAGCAGTAGTGGGCATAGAGAGAAATGGACAGATTCATGGTTTACTGAGAAGAAAAATTATACAATTTTGTGTTTAATGTAAAATGATTTTAGAAAAATAAAAATAATATCTCTATACTATAGATCTCAATTTGTACATACATATGTACATATTTGCATCTTGAGAAACTGGGAGAATTTGGGATGTAATTTACCAAGCCAGAGAAATTCACAGAGAACCATGAGAGAATAGATGGGTTTGCAACAGGCCAGATGAGTACCTGATGAGTTATGCTTTCATCATATGAATTTTAGGACTTTATTACATGCCTCAGTTAAAAAAATCTCATGAACAGTTGTATATATGGGTCTGAGTTTCAGCAGAGACATCTAGGCTATATAATTCTGGAGGTTATCAGCATATAGGTGGTAAGTGAGTCTTGGAAGTGGATTGAATCATCCACGGAAAATGTTTAACATTAAGAAGAGAAGCACGCTAAGAGTGGAGCTTCTGCCTGTCTGCCTTAAAAGAATAGGCAGAGCCGCTTGATTGGAGACCAAGAAAGAGCATGGAACACTGAGGGAAGAAAATCAGGAGAGCGTAGTGTCATAGAAGACACCAAGAGGGAGAATTTTAACAAAGAAGAGAGACAAATCAAAAATATCATGTGGACTTGAAAGATCAAGAATAGAATTAAGAAGCATTTTATTGGATTCAATAAAAGGAGATCTTGGTGGCTGGATACAGGCAGTTTTAGTAGTTTGGGGATGGTGTGAGATGCAAGAAATTGACAAATGTGTGGGAGGAGAGTAAGTGGAAGTAACTAGTACAGGAAAGGTCAAGAACATTCATTTTAATATCCGTAAGACTTGGATAGGGTAAGTGCTGGTGGGAAGAAAACAGTAAGCAGAAGAGTGTTAAAGAAGCAGGAAGGGAAGGGCATGAGTGTGAGACCAAGTCCTCTGAGGAAGGGAGAGCTGTGGTCCCAGACAAAGGTGGGGCCAGCACCTCTCAGGAAAAATAGTGCAGTTTAAGGCGCTCTCTCTCTGAATAGGAGAGGCCTAGTGTTGAGAATGACAGATTAGGAGATGGAGTGGGAGGTGTGAGGAAAGGGAGAACATTTGAAATTGCCAATTTGAGACTGGGAGAGAGGGCTGCCTAGAGAAACACAGGAAGTTTGCCAGGCATTTGTGAGTGCCCAGTAAATGTGGGAGCCATAAACTGGAATTGAAATCAATCCAAGCAGTTGTGTGATTTTCTCCATTAGAGCCCAGAAGCACTGATGTAGGGGCTAAGAACACAGGCAGTGAAATTTATCTAATGCTGGGGTGTGGCAGGCAGTGTGACAAATGGCAAAGCGTTCCTGGCCAGACAGGCAGATTTGAGGGGACACAGGGAAGAGGAACTTCACATACTCAAATGAGGACTGAGGACTAAAAGACATGGAGAACTGAGAACAAAGGATTGAGGGCCGTGGGAATTGAGGCACATGGAGAAGAGGACCTTCACGTCTTAAAACACTCACTTAGGAATTGTGGTTTGCAAAGACAGGTGTATGCCAAGACTTTCTTAAGAAATTTGTAAAACTAGGAATAAACTAGTTATAAATTATGACGATCCATCTTGTTTGAAACATTACATGACTGTAGAAAAATGGTGGACTCCTACATAAAAATGAAAATTCCATAATGTCCAAGGGAATTTATTATACATAAACATCTTTTAGGAGGATACAGTTGTAGCATTTTCATAACAAAGGGGTGCATATTTCAAGAAATGGGAAATGGAGTTTTAAAGTTTATACAAAATAAATACTGAAAGTCAGCAAACAAATTATAAATCATATGTAACTTGAATTTTATCATCTACAGATTTTAGTTGTGAGCATAAATATTTATTGGGACGTATGGAGTTGGACAAAAATAGGGTTACATATGGCACATGAAAAATAGGAAAGAAGCATATTGACAATATTAAAATATATTAATAGCAATCCACCTCTGAAACAGTTTCACTAAAGTCACAATTATGCCTATTCCAGGTTACTATTAAATCTCTTGTACAGGAACAGTATAGAAGTCTTAGTTGGGGTGTATAATTACTATTAAAAATATTTCAACTGTTAATTTTTTATTATACTTTAAGTTCTGGGATACATGGGCAAAATGTACAGGTTTGTTACATAGGTACACATGTGCCATGGTGGTTTGCTGCACCCATCAACCCGTCATCTACATTAGGTATTTCTGCTAATGCTATCCCTTCCCTTACCCCCTACCTACTGACAGGCCCCGGTGTGTGATGTTCCCCTCCCTGTGTGCATATGTTCTCATTGTTCAACTCCCACTTATGAGTAAGAACATAAGGTGTTTTGTTTTCTGTTCCTGTGTTAGTTTGCTAAGAATGATGGTTTCCAGCTTCATCCATGTCCTGCAAAGAGATGAATGAATTATTTTTTATAGCTGCATGGTATTCCATGGTGTATATGTGCCACATTTTCTTTATCCAGTCTAACATCGATGGGCATTTGGGTTCGTTCCAAGTCTTTGCTATTGTGAATAGTGCTGCAGTAAACATATGTGTAGATGTGTCTTTATAGCAGAATGATTTATAATCCTTTGGGTATATACCCAGTAGTGGGATTGCTGGGTCAAATGGTACTTCTCATTTTAGATCCTTGAGGAATTCCACACTGTCTTCCACAATGGTTGAATTAATTTACATCAACTGTTAGTTTTTAAAAGTAGAGGATCTACATTGCTTAAATCTGAGAGCATCACTAGGACAAGCCACTCATATTATAATGGGCTACTTTTGACATTTCCACTTAGTTTTCCCTTCATATTGCAGAAAACATTGTTTTCACACATTTAGAATGTTTGTAGGACAAAAAAGTGAAATATAGCTTGCCAGTCATTCAAACCATAAATGTAAATCTAGCTGAATTATATTTTAATTCAAATTGCTATTGAATGCCACTTGAAGGTCCATATTTAAAAATGGCTACTGCTCATGTTGAGCAACACTGTTTCATAAATGCCTTCATGGTTCTAATGTTGAACTCCTTTAAGTTCAGTTAGAGCTTTACAAATATAACCATGTGACCGGAAATTATTTTTAAGCAGTTAAAAAATAAAATAGAAAGTAGACGTAGGGCATATGCTAGTAGTTGGTGTCTTATTCTGTGAGTGGTGCTGCAAAAATTTTGACTTTCCCAAAATATCTCCTGTTCTGCTGTGATGTGTCTTCTGTTCTGTTTTATATGATTCATAATCTGTATCATAGTAGTAAACTTTCTGGGGTATTCTGAGGGGATGTCTTTTGGAGCCCATTGACAAAATGCTACCAGAAGGGAGGAAGATCTTAAGTTCTTCTATAAGCTTTCATTCTTATATGTCTATGCAGGGGAACACATATGCAGGTATGGACACCTCCTCATCTTGCTTGGGCATAGAAAAGGGAGAAGGTGGTAGAAGCGGAAAGGAAATTTGCATCTGTTGTAGAGGGAGGAGATACTGGCAAATATGTATAAGAAATAATGAAAAGGATGATGAGCATTTTGTAAATGACGAGTTAATGGGTGCAGCACACCAACATGGCACATGTATACATATGTAACAAACCTGCACGTTGTGCACATGTACCCTAGAACTTACAGTATAATAAAATATATATAAAAAATAATAATAATAAATAAATAAAAGATTGTGCTTCTACTATATGTAAAATCTTACCAAGAAAAACTCATATACATGACATTAAACTCTAAAAAATGAAAAAAAAAATGAAAAGGGAGAAACCTGGAAAAAGGAGGAGTGACGAGATTTAATTTTGGCTATTCTACAGTTTTGCCTGGAGCTAGCCCCTGTCCTTTCATACATTAGGAGAAAATAATGTAAAATCTTGGGAGCCGAACATGACTTAATAATTATGTAGACTTTGAAGTTTAGAGATATAACATCTGTTTTGGGCTACACAATTATCTATATTACAGATAAGGACCTTGAAATTTAAACTAAGTCACTTTCCCAGATCTCATAGGACAGTACAGGGATTTGAACTCATATTTTCTAATCTTAGAAATTACACACTTTGTACTACATTACAAGGTCCTCTAAAAGAAATCCCTTCCTGTAGCATAAAATACAAATGTTAATTTCATTTAATTCTTCCTTCCTACTGTTATTTCTTCTTCTTCCAGCTCTCTTTAAGTCTTTTATATTGTGGGGTTAATTGCATTTTACTTAGCATACCATTTTTGCAAATGCTTATTTTAAATTTAAAAAGAGAGGAAGAGAGGAGAGAAAAGAAGGGAAGGGAATTTTTCAGTGAAACACCTGGAAATTCCTAAGAACATTTCCAGTTACACATAGGTTTGAAGTTTTGAAGTTTTTATTTTAAATAAAAGTTTTCTAGGGTGTAAAGCCCATGTTTTATTCTTAGCTTTGCCACTGAGTCATTCTCTGCCCTTGGACACCTCACCTAACACATTGTAACCTAGTAAGATTTAGCGTTTTTCAAAACTAGATGGTGTTTGAAAAGAGAAATCTTCAGTTTTCCTCCTTGTGATGTTCCTGTTTTCTTAAAGTACTTGAGATCCTGGGTGTCCTGCTGTGACTTGTTCAAGCGTAATTTGTAACAGAAATGATTGAAAGGTTTCTAGATTTAGCATGATCTCTTCAAAAGGGATCTTTAAAGTTGAAGTATGGCTAACCTATTATTTTCTTTTCTATTGCCTTATACTGGGTTATCCTTCAACAAGGTAACATGCAACCATCCACTGCCTGTAACCCTGGCTTCCTGTGCAGCAAAGAGAATGTGACTGCCAGACTTTTCCCCTGAACTTTGCTTCATGAGTGAAAACAGGATTAAATTATAGTTTCCATTTTTAAGATTCTTAAATAATTTAGTATACTTTATGGTTATTTTCCTACTTACATTCCTCATCCTTTATGAGTAGCCCTCTCATTTGTTCCCTCATATCTTTAGGAATGTGTGCACTTAGATAATTAGACATTCACAGTTACGAAAACTAAGATCACAAAGGTTGGTCATTAAGTTTGATTTTCATAAAGCTTCTTTCTAATTCCATGTGAACTTTGCAACACAGTTATCTTTTTTAAAATTTTTGATTTATGTGTGTACATAGTAGGTGTATATACTTATGAGGTACATGAGATATTTTGATACAGGCATGCAATACATAATAAACTGTCCATGGAAAATGGGATATCCATCCACTCAAGTATTTATCTTCTGTGTTACACACAATCCAATTCTACTTTTTAAGCTATTTTAAAATGTACAATTAAATTATTACTGACTATAGTCACCCTGTTATGCTGTCAAACACTAGGTTTTATTCATTCTTTGTAACTAATTATTTTGTATCTGTTAACCATCCCCATCTCTCCCCAACCACTTCACTATCCTTCCCAGCCTTCCTATGCGGATAACTATCCTTCTACTCCTATCTCCAAGAGTTCAGTTGTTTTGACGTTTAGATCTCACAAATAAGTGAGAACATGTGATATTTGTCTTTCTGTGCCTGGCTTATTTCACTTAATATAATGATCTCTAGTTCCATCCATGTTGTTGCAAATGACAGGATCTCATTCTTTTTTTATGGCTGAATAGTATTATTGTGTATATGTACCACATTTTCTTTGTTCATTCATCTGTCGATATACGTTTAGGTTGCTTCCAGATCTTCACTACTGAGAATAGTGCTGCAACAAATATGGGAGTGCAGATATCTTTTTGATATACTGATTTTCTTTCTGTTGTGTGTATATATAGCAGTGAGATTGCTGTATCATATGATAGCTCAATTTTTTAATTTTTTGAGCAACCTTGAAACTGTTTTCCATATTGGTTATACTAATTTACATTCCCACCAACAGTGTATGAGGGTTCCCTTTTCTCCACATCCTCGCCTGTCTTATTGCCTGCCTTTTGGATATAAGCTGTTTTAACTGGGATGAGATGATTGTAGTTTTGATTTGCATTTCTCTGATGATCAGTGATGGTGAGCACCTTTTCATATGCCTGTTTGCCATTTGTGTTTTCTTTTGAGAAATATCTACTCTAATCTTTTGCCCAATAGTTATTATTAATATTTATTCATTGAATATTTTAATTGTTGTTTTAGTTATGATACAAATTTTGCAAATATTTGAATACTTAATAAAAAGTTTTATTTTATTGGAATATATGAAAAGATTCATTGATAGATTAAGTTAGACCTCAGAAGGTTGTAGGTGTGGATTTAAAGGTAAAACTTCTGATTTTATTTCTGTGGAAGTCAATCTTTCACATAGTTTTCTGAGTGACATCTATAAGCTAGGTGCATGGTGAGTGATTTGAATATTCTGGAAAACCATTTTCTGCTTTTGAGGTACTAATAATGTAGCTGAAGAAGCATTACATTTATATTAAATATTAGTGAGAGTTGAAGGCTATATTCATATAAGAGCTGTCACAAAATAGCGTGTGATTAACTGTCGAATGAAAATTACAGGTAATAAAACATTACCCTATTAGCTAGGAAGCAGGCCTAGGTAGAAGACATGATCCTGGAACTAGACTCTGAGGGATTATGAAAGTACTTTTTAGAAAGTTAGACATAGGGAAAGCCAAGGAAGCATGAAAATAACCAGAGTAAAGGCCAAGAAGTAAAAAGAATCAGACTTGTTTAAGCAGAAAATGCTCTCTAGGGAAACACATACCCTCTAGGTTGGTCAAGTAGAATGGCTTAGGGAAATAAAGGAGAAGCTAGAAATAAGGATCCAAAGAAAACTTTATGGCAGAGGAATGGTATGATCAACATATCGTTTATGAAGGAAAGACAATGTAAAATGTATACAAGATAAACTAGATAGAAGAGATTCACTAAGACCAGTTCTGAGAAAACTGCAGTAGCTATGTTAGAAGATAAATGTATGAACAAAGCCAGTGAGGGTATATATTTATTTATTTAGATGTTAACATAAAAAGTATAATGTAGAAATACTTCCTAAATATACTTAATTGAGTAAAATAATAATAAAGACCTAAAGAAAGATGTATCTATAATACTGAAAAGGGATTTGTTTAAATACCAAATTTACTCCCTTAAAAATTAGTTATTTTTGTCCTTGTGGTAGACAGCTTATAAGATGGTCTCCAATAATCCCTGCCTTGTAGCCCTTCTGTAAGCTGTTTCCCTGGAGGGTAGGACGGACTTGCAGACTCTCTCCTAATGAATAAACTATGGTGAAAGTAATGGGGTGTCACTTCTGAGATTAAGTTACAAAAAGATTGTGGCTTTCATCTCATCCTCTCTTGCTCTATTGCTGGTTTGTTCTGAGGGAAGCTAGCACATTTTGTGACGTCCATGTGACAAGGAATTGATGACTCTGGTCAATAGTTTAAAAAAAGACTTCAATGAGTGAGTGAGCTTGGAAGTGTACCATCCCTAAATCCAGACATGAAATGACCCAATTTTCAGCCAACACCTTGATTGAAGCCTTGTGAGAGACCCTGGGCCAGAGGCACCCAGCTAAGACATTCCAGGATGCTTAACCCCCAAAGAAACTATGAGCTAATAAATGTTTGTTGTTTTGTCATTGAGTTTTGGAATAAGTTGTTAGATAGCAATAGACAACTAATACATTATTATAGTGTTACATATTCTTCTACCTCTACCAGGACACCTGACTGAATACTATAAAGGATGCTTCTACTATAATACAACAAAATTTAAGCTAAAGTATACTTGTCAGTTTATTAGAATCACTGGAGTCATGGAAAATAAGAGGCAGTTCCAGAGATAAAATAAACTAAAGCCTGTAGGCAGAAAGCTTACCCTAGGAGAAATGATAGCTAATTCCTGGGAACAGGAGACCAAGCCTGGGGTTCACTGCAACGTAGCAGCTAAGAAGAGTTTCTTATGTAGGGTTAGAGAAGTTCAAGGTCAATAATGCCCCTGAAAAGTATACCCAATTTGAGCTTTTAGGCTCTTCCTCTGAAAAAATTAGATAAAATATTTGAACACATAATTAAAATAAAAACAATGACAACAAAGGAAACAGGCAACCACAGAGAGTAATGGAGAGATATTACCAAGGACTTTAGTTATTGGAATTGTCTGGAAAAGTGTACAAGTTAAGCATCTATGGAATTTGTAAAGAAAAAATTGCATATAAAATGAGCAAATAATAAGTGATCATTAAAAATAATCAGTCTTAAAAAAGGATGAAAAAGAATATTTAAAAATATAATCTTTTCTACACTTTTTCTTCCCCCTCATCCCTGTCCTCGTATCTCTTCTAGTCATGCTATTGCTTTTAGTTCTCTTAATTAAATTTGAAATTCATTTAATATATTAAGCCTCTATTTCATTGGTGTGTCAATGTTAGACAACGTTACTCGCATTTTCATGATGTAAGTTGATGGATTTAGTGGCCTTATGTAATCTCTCCTTGTCCCCTCTAATTCTCAAATGCTGATTACCATATTATTATATTTGTACTGTCATGGATATTATTATTTACATTCCATTTTGTTACTATATTATTCATCTTCCTTGGTATGCTTATAGATGACATCTAGAAATAGAAACAATGATCAGCATATATAAAATCACAATTACATAGATATTGACTGCAAAGCAAAAGTGAATTTCAACTCTTTAAAGGAAGGTGGCATGATCACTTTTCTGTGCTGCTCAGAAAGAAACAGCTAACAAAAATGAGTGGAGATGGGGAGAGAGAAGATGGGAGGGTACGTATAGTATGTTATAATTCCTCTATTTCATTCATTTGAAGATGTGCTTTTTGTTTTTAACATTGGGACATCTCTGAGTTTGGAATGCATCTTATAATCATTGTTGGCCAGGCAGTGGTAATGATCTGCTCACGTGAAAACTTGACCATAGCTGCTCGTAATATCATCATTTAAATGGAATGATGCACAATGCCAGTACTACATACATTGAGTTTAATTGCCATTTAAAATATCAGGAAGAGTACATTATGATTCAGCAATAGTACAGTTATTGTATACATAGAAAGGAAAGAGAGCAGTGTGATATGTGCTAAAATGCATACATAATCTAGAAGAGTTACTGCAAAGAGTATAAAATAAAAATTCTAAATAATAGGAAAGCATATGCCATAGTTTAATTAGGAACTTTTTTTTTCTTAGTGATTATAATAGTGCATCATCTAATTAATAGATTTCTAGGGTCAATGAAATGTAAATTTTAAATGTGTATATTATAATTTGCCTTTTCCTTTTCAGTAAAATATTTCAGCTTTCTCGTTTTGCTATTCATTATAGGGAATTCACTTTATTCTCGATTTTTGTACAGAACCCTAATCTAATTTGCTTTGCAGATTTGCTGTGATACAAGCAGCAGCTGTTCCAGCCCTTTCATCCCCATACCAATTACCTCTTTCTAGAGTAACAAGTTTTGGCTAGACACATTTGCAACTTCTCTTGCAGCTAGGGATGACAACATGACTAGGTTCTCCGCATGTGATGTGGGCAGAAGTGATAGAATAAAATGAAATCCCCCCAACCTCTTTCCCTTTACCTTCTTTATCCCTTCCCTGAGGCTGGAGTGTGGATGTGGTGGGAAGCCATCTTTAACAATGCACCCAAGGACCAAAATACAGAGGTTGTGAAATAAGATGGAAAGAAAAAGCCCCAACATCAATGAGTTGTCCTACTAGCATTGGATTATCTATGGTTACTGATACATGAGGAAAAAAATATATATTCTTTAAGTCAGTATATATTAAGGGACAATATAATTGCTCTTTTAGCATCCCTTTGCCTTTTTGTGTGTGTGAAGTAGGTCACATACTTCACACAAAAGTACTCCCATATTATCTTTATTATTGTCTATAAGAATCTACAGTGATGCTCCCTCTCTTCATTGCTGATGTTTATAAAATTTTCCTAAGAACTAACTTATTTGTTCATTTTTCTCTCTCTAATATTTCTATTTTATATTATATCATTTCTTCCCCTATTTTTATTATTTTTAGTTCGTTTACTTACTTTGGTTTTCATTAGCTTACTGTTTTTCTGGTTTCCTAAGTGGAGAAATTGGAACATTGATTTTACTTGCCTTTCTTCATTTAAAGCTATAAGCTTCTCTGTAAGAACTGCTTTATCTATATTCCATATATTTTATATTTTGTTTTCCTTATCATTCAGTTCAAATATTTATTGAAATTTACCTTTGATTTCTTCGACTCATGGATTATTTGAAGTATTTTGGTTTGTTTCCAAAAACTTGAGGATTTTCTACATAACTAATGTTACTTCAGTTTTAATATTATTATGTCTAGAATGTATACTCTGATTTACATTCTTTGGTATTTATTGAGACTTGATCTATGTAGGTCATGGTTTCTCAAACTTCGCATAGACATATTTGACTGGATATTACTTTGTTGTGGGAGTTATTCTGTATATTTTAGGATAGCTAGCAAAGTCTCTACTAGATCTCAGTTTCTCCCCTATAGTTGCAATAATCAAAAAATATCTTGAGACATTACCAAATGTTTTCAGGGAGGCAAAATTGCCTCTAGTTGAAAAATGCTGATCTAGAAAAATGTCCCATGCGCACTTAAAAAGAATGCATAATTTACAGTGATTGGGTGTGATGTTCTATAAATATCAGTTAGATTCAGCTGGTTATTAATGTTGTTCAAATCATACAAATCTTTACTCATTCTTTTGTACTTAAAAAATCAATTATTGATAAGGTGTCTTAAAAATTTCCAATTATGATCACACATTTTTGTGTTTTTGTCTTTAGTTCTAACAATTTTTGAATCACATATTTCAAAGCTTGTTATTAGTTGCATATACATTTATCATTGTTATTTTATGTTAAAATTGATGGTTTTCCCATTATAAAATTTACCTGTCTTGATACTTTTCCTCAAAGTCTAGTTATATTAATATACCCACTTCAATTTTCTTATGCTTAGTGTTATCATGGTATTTTTTCACACCTTTTCTCTTTCAGTTTACTCATGCTTTTGTTTTCAAATAATTTCCTTTAAACATAGTTTCATCTTGAATTTTTAAAATCTAACCTGACATTCTTTATTTGGAGTATTTATTTTGTTTGTATGTAATGCAATTATTGATGTGTTACGTTTCTCATCTTGATTTTTCTCCCTCTTTTCTTGTTTCTCATCTTGAGTATATTGCATACATTTTTAGGATTGCATTTTATCTCATGCATGTATTTTCAGCTATAACTTTTCATATTATTTTAGATAG
Organism: Homo sapiens; assembly: GCF_000001405.40. Classification (NCBI taxonomy): domain Eukaryota; kingdom Metazoa; phylum Chordata; class Mammalia; order Primates; family Hominidae; genus Homo; species Homo sapiens. The sequence continues at coordinate 173,180,517 of NC_000003.12, forward strand.
TGGTTCTAGATATTACACTAGGTATTATTAAGCTAGCACACATGAATATGGGTATATATTTTTTGATGTATCTTGCATCAACATAATTTTCTTTATCTTCTTTCTGCTCTGTGTGCTCGTTTTCTATTTTTTCGTATTATTTTACAACTCCATAAAACATTGTTTATATTTTTGTTTTGTACAGTTCATGTTTATGTTGCTTTAAATAAATTCAGAAATTATTATACAGATATTATACCTACACACACACTAATTTTTAAATAATTATATCTATTGACTTTCTCTGGTCAGATTTTTTTTCTTTTTAATTTCTAATTTTACTTGTTTCTTTTCCTCTTTGTTTCATTTGGATACTTTTCTTTTTATTGATCAGCCCTCACATTCATTGATACTGTCTTCTGCTTTTTCCAGTCTGCTATAAGTTCGTTCAATGAATTTATAATTTTCAATCAATAACTTTTTACATGCAACATTTCTTTTTTTTTGTTTTTTTGAGACAGTTTCACTCTTGTTGCTGAGGCCACAGTGCAGTGGCACGATCTTGGCTCACTGCAACCTCCATCTCCTGGGTTCAAGTGATTCTTCTGCCTCAGCCTCCTGAGTAGCTGGGATTAGAGGCACCTGTCACCATGCCTGGCTAATTTTGTATTTTTAGTAGAGACGGGTTTTTACCATGTTGCCCAGGCTGGTCTGGAACTCCTTACCTCAGGTGATCTACCCACATCGGCCTCCCATACATGCAACATTTCTATTTAGATCTTTATGCAGTTATCATGTGTTTGCTGAAATTTCCAATCTTCCTACTTATTATGCACCATTTTTACTTTATTCTTTAACATTTTTATTGTGGTTATTTTAACTTATTTGTTTGATATTCCAACATTTGTGCTATCTCTAGCTTTGCTTCTATTGATTATTTTCTCTCTTGTTCATTGTTCGTATATTTTGCGTTTTGTTTGCTTGTAATCTTTCAATTTTTTGTGAAACATTTTGTAAAAAAAGGATAGTAGAAGCTGAAGGAAGTAACATTTGCTTCTAAGTAGAGGCAGGCACAGTTTTAATCAGACCATGAGAGCAAAGGTTGGGTCAATATACTGTAGTTGATTTGGGTTTGTGCTTTATTTCAACATTAGCTTAATTTAGTTTTCTGCTATCTTCAAATGTTTGGAGAATTGAATCAGGACTATTCCTTCTGTAGGGCTTGGGGTCAGAGCACTACCAATACTCAAGAGATCTGCCTATACTTCAAAGCTGAACCACCAGCTTTTGCAACTCTGGGATATATCTAGTTTACAGTCTGTTTGTCAGTTTTGTGGGTCCTGAAGCATTGTTTTTGCCTTTCAGACATACCCATTGCTTTCTGCATCTTGGAATGTCTCTTTCAGACCTGTTTTCTATCTCCCAGTCTTTGCAGGGCTGTGGCTCTATACTCTATAAAGATACAGAACTCTTTGAAGAGATTTAGCTTTAGCTTTCCCAATTAGCCTTCTGTCTTTAGTAATTGAGAGCCAAATTATAATGGGGTGTGTGTGTGTGTGTGTGTGTGTGTGTGTGTGTGTGTGTGTGTCTGTTTGTATGTGATCTCTTCAACCCCTCTAACCTTCCTTAGATGATGTATTTCCCTGCATTTGCTTCCCTGCTGATATGGTTTGGCTCTGTATCCCCACCAAAACCTCATCTTGTAGCTCCCATAATTCCCACATGTTGTGAGAGGGACCCGGTGGGACATGGTTGAGTAATGGGAGTGAGGGTGAGGGTGGGTCTTTACTGTAGTGTTCTCTTGATAGTGAATAAGTCTCATGAATCTGATGGTTTTAAAAATGGGAGTTTCCCTACACAAGCTCTCTCTTTGCCTGCCACCATTCATGTAAGATGTGACTTGTTCCTCCTTGCCTTCTGCCATGATTGTGAGGCCTCCCCAGCTATGTGGACCTATAAGTCCATTAAACCTCTTTTTTGTAAATTACCCAGTCTCAGGTGTATCTTTATCAGCAGCATGAAAATGAACTAATATAGTAAATTGGTACCAGTAGAGTGGGGTGCTGCTGAAACAATACCTGAAAATGCAAAAGTGACTTTGGAACTGGGTAACAGGCAGAGATTGGAACAATTTGGAGGGCTCAGAAGAAGACAGGAAAATGTGGGAAAGATTGGAACTTCCTAGAGACTTGTTGAATGACTTTGACCAAAATGCTGATAGTGATATAGACGATGAAATTCAAGCTGAGGTGATCTCAGATGGAGAGGAGGAACTTGTTGGTAACTGGAGCAAAGGTAACTCTTGTTAAGTTTTAGCAAAGAGACTGGTGGTATTTTGCCCCTGCCCTAGAGATTTGTGGAAAGTTGGATTTGAGAGAGATGATTTAGGGTATCTGGTGGAAAAAATTCCTAAGCAGCAAGGCATTCAAGAGGTGACTTGGGTGCTGTTAAAGGCATTCAGTTTTGAAAGGGAAGCAGAGCATAAAAGTTTGGAAAATTTGCAGCCTGACAATCTGATAGAAAAGAAAATCTCATTTTCTGAGGAGAATTCAAGCCGGCTGCAGAAATTTGCACAAGTAATGAGGAGCCAAATGTTAATCCCCAAGACAATGAGGAAAATGTTTACAAGGCATGTCAGAGGTCTTCACCGCAGCCCCTTCCATCACAGGCCCGGAGGCCTAGGAGGAAAAAGTGGTTTCATGGGGTGGGCCCAGGGTTCCATGCTGTGTGCAGCCTAGGGACTTGGTGCCCTGCAACCCAGCTGCTCCAGCCATGGCCGAAAGGGGCCAATGTAGAGGTTGGGTGTGGCTTCAAAGGGTGCAAGCCCCAGGTCTTGGCAGCTTCCATTTGGTGTTGAGCCTGTGAGTGCACTGAAGTCAAGAATTGGGGTTTGGGAACCTCTGACTAGATTTCAGAAGATGTATGGAAATGCCTGGATGCCCAGGCAGAAGTTTGCTGCAGGGGCAGGGCCCTCATGGATAACCTCTGCCAGGGCAGTGCGAAAGGGCAATGTGGGGTTGGAGCACCCACACAGAGTCCCTTCTGGGGCACTGCCTAGTGGAGCTGTGAGAAGAGGGCCACCGTCCTCTAGACCCCAGAATGGTAAATCCACTGACAGCTTGCACCATGCCCCTGACATTCAATGCCACAGACATTCAATGCCAGCCTGTGAGGGCAGACAGGTGGGAGGCTATACCCTGCAAAGCCACAGGGGTGGAGCTGCCCAAGGCCATGGGAACCCACCTCTTGCATCAGCATGACCTGGATGTGAAATGTGAGAGTCAAAGGAGATCATTTTGGAGCTTTAAGATTTGACTGCCCTGCTGGGGCTGTAAAGATTTGACTTTAAGATTTGACTAGCCCCTTTGTTTTGGCCAACTTCTCCCATTTGGAATGGCTATATTTACCAAATGCAAGACTTTGGACTGTGGACTTTTGAGTAAATGCTGAAATGAGTTAAGGCTTTGGAGGACTGTTGGGAAGGCATGATTGGTTTTGAAATGAGAAGACATGAGATTTGGGATACGCCAGGGACAGAATGATATGGTTTGGCTCTCTGTCCCCACCCAAATCTCATCTTGTAGGTCCCATAATTCCCACGTGTTATGGGAGGGACCTGGTGGGAGATGGTTGTATCCTGGCAGCAGATCTTTCCTGTGGTGCTCTCGTGATTGAGAATAAATCTCACAAGACCTGATGGTTTTAAAAGTGGGAGTTTCCCTGCACAAGCCCTCTCTTTGCCTGCCACCATCCATGTAAGATGTGACTTGCTCCTCCATATCTTCTGCCATGATTGTGAGGCCTCGCAAGCCATGTGAAACTGTAAGTCTGTTAAACCTTTTTTTTTTTTTGTAAATTGCCCAGTCTTTATCAACAGCATGAAAAAGGACTAATATACCTGCCTAACACAACCTCCTCTGAAGAAGATTTGCACTTGACAGAGGCCATGGACATTTCAATGGGGCTATCTCTTAGCTCTCATTCTTTGACACCCTCCCTAGTTTTGGTGTATTACTCCCTATATTTGGTGAATACTCATGAGCAACAGTTGACAGATGGGTGCAGTTTTGGTTTGTGGGTGGGTTTCTTCTAAATTCAAGTCTACCATGCCAACCTACATATGGCTGTTAACAATTCATAAAATATGTGTCTGATATCTAACATATTTTTTCTTCCCTCTTCTCACTCTAATGGCATATTTCTTCCTCAGCAGGCCTGTGTCTCTTCTCTTCTATGAAGGACCTGGCACTTCCTGATTAAAACTTTGCTTGGGTCTCATTATTTCTTTAATGCTTTGGTTAGTTTTAAGAGCTGTAATTTTTGCATCTTACCTGGATTTTTGTTGTTTTTATCATTAAGGTGGGAGTGACAGTTTTTTGTAACTTTCTCATTTAATTAGAAAATGAACTCCATTTATTATTATTATTATTAAATTGAAGTGCCTCTATTATGCATGAGATCGCTTGCATAGGTGCAAATGATACCAATAACATAGAAGTCAAACAATTACCACTCCCTCTTCTCACTGGAAAATGCTTATAGGAAATTAGATGGTTTTTGTTCTCTGAGTTTAGCAAACTGGGTCTTATAGTACTTCAAACATGAAGGATACTGGAGCAGGGCATCACAATGACTCATGCTCTCCTTCTGGTTTCTTGAAATTCAAATTTGGAAACATTTGGCAGAAATATTTTGGTGCTCTGAACTGGTGGTGGTGTATATAGGGCCCTAATTGTCACTGACTCATTCCACAAAAGATTTTTTTTCCCTTCATTCTATTTCCTACTTCTCTAACTTCTAAGAAATATTTTTGTTACTTAGGGAACACTTGTAATTTAATTTATTGCTCTTATTTTAACTTTACAAATTAAGACTTCTTTCATATTCATGGCCACACTTTTTCAGAGATTGAACAATGTAATTATGTTACTAATCTTTTTCTTTCCAAACTTCATATATTTACTTATTATAATACTTTCTTTTTAATCAGTGCCGTTATCTGTTTAATTACTTTCACTATTACTTGAATACAATCCAGATTATTTACATAAGATTTCTAGTATACTTAGCCAAACATACTCAAGCACAGTTGTGCATGTTTGTATATTAATATATATACATACCTTTTAACAGTCTTTCTTTATCTACATAAAACTTTCTGTGTTACATTTCTATAATCTAGACTGAAACAGAACAGACAGTTTTGTAACTTGTTTCTCCCATTCAACATTCATATACTCCTACATATATTGATAGTCTATTTTTGTTTCTGTTGTGGGAATTGTCATATATATAGACATAACTTCAATAGATCATCATGGCAATATGATCAGGTACCTTGCCCTGATTGAATTCTGCCTGGACAAGGATTAAGTAGCAATTTGACACACATTTGTTTTCCTTTGGTGCATACAGATCTCTCATTCTTGGAATAAAGAATGAGTGTCTTCATTGTATTTTATTTTTATTCTTAACTATTTTCTTGCAAAATCTTCACGGTAATTCCCATTTCTAGAATCTCTTTTATTGTTTTTATATTGATGAGTAGTCTTCATATAATGAAAAATAAAATTGCATAGATATAAGGATGAGCTGATTTCTTTTTTTTTAATATCATGGGTACATTACAGTTTGATTGTACAGTGTTGGATGGGACCCAGTGGACACTCTGCTGCACAGCTGATTTATACTTCTAGGTTAGCTAAGCACAGATGGGGTTAGAGATACTGTGTATCATTGCCAAACAAAAGTAAATCATGTATGGAAGTCCTGATTAGGTTAAACTTGAAACAACATGGAGAGACATCCAAGCTTTTGGAATTGGCTTCTTCAACAAATGCTCCTTTGACATTGAAAATAAGCTATGACACCTAAATTCTAGACCTGGACAATAGAGCCTCCTTCCTTGGGCCAGCAAGTTAGATATTTCTGTATAGTACAAACATACACAAATATAGAAAACATATACAAAAACAAGATCAAAAAAGGAATACTTCGGACACTTGAGAGCTGCCATTCAGCACTGGCACAACATGACCTATAGTCTTAAACATCTATTTTTGTGGCTGACTCTATTTGGGCCCCAAGGAAAAGCTTCATCTCTTTAGACTCATGTTGTAGAAATCATAGAAGACTTTCAAAATATGGTGAAGGTTTGAAGATTATGCCTTCATCAACATGAGAAATTTACACTGCTTTATAACAGAAAGGCAGAAATGTCTTTTCTTATTGGGAAAAAAAGACACATTAATTGACTCATCAAATGAAGTTCCTTGCAGTTACTATGACTGCCATAGGCTTTGCAGTATAATGAAGTATTATTTCTCAGTAGTAATGGCAGTCCTTTATTTTGTTTATTTTCCTATTCTAACTCTTAGTTCTGGAGGTATTAATAAAATAATGTGATATTTGCAACAGTTGCATGTAATGGCTAAATAATTTTTACAGTAAGAAATCACTCATATTTACTTTGAAACTTGTATATATGTAGATATAGAGGTAATTTAGGTGAAGTGTAATACCATTTTTTCACATTGGCAATGAGATGAGCATTGAATGAAAGAATTAAGAATAGTGGTTTCATTAAAAAGTAATGATTTAATTAAATTTTCAAAATTAAATATGAATATTAGATGTTAAGATGAATTTTAATATTCATTAATTTTAATATATATTTTTATTATTTTGATAGTTGACTTAGAATGTTTTATAAAAAATAGCTGGTTTAGGAAACATGAAAATAATTTTAATTTAAAAATTTGACAAATAACATTTGATAAAATATAATCAATTTTTTATACTTTTGAAAATACATTGTTTTTAATTATTTAATTCATTCCCATTAATAGAACAAAAACCATGTTATGCCACAATTATAATGATAAAAATCAGTGTTTCTCTTGAAGTGAAATTCAAAAAAATTATGTAATAATATGTAGTAACTTATGAATTATATTTATCTGTATTTGAGTATACATCAAAACATTACCAGCTAACCAGGGAACATTAACACATGTAGTAATAATTAAATGTAGTCATTGTCAACATTTTTTTCAACTTACAGTTGTATAAAAACCATAGCTGTACACATATTTTTAAGTTTTGTTATTATGTAAAGGTAGATTTTTTGAGTTAGAAGGCTAAACATCATTTATTTAATAATTTAGCTGATTTTAGATTTAAAATATTTAGATGTTTAATGGTTAAATATTTAATGTAAAATTGTAAATATTTAATTATAGTATATGAGCCTCATTTGGTCTCTAGTCCTGTCCTGTAAACATTAGGAGTCTTCCTCCTGTTTCCAAAGTATTAAATATGAACTGGTTATTTTATTTATAGAGTCATTACTAATTTCCTGTGGTATGATAATAGTATTACACAGCAAATATCTATATGTTGTAGATATACTTATGTAATTATTTAATAGGTGAAATATGTTCAAAATTTGCTTTAAAATATAACCAAATTAATAATGTTTTTGTTTTTATTATCTTCATGGAACACTTTGAGAAGTAAAGGGGTAGATACATGCTCCATTTGTAAATTAGGGTTTGACAAAGAAGTCCATTATTCCATTTAGTCAATAATTTTGTTCTCATCTTTGCCTGAAAATATATTTTGAAAGCTCTTTAAAAAGTTCTAGAAGCATTAGAACACATCTGATCTGAATTTCAATTTTACATTTTTACTATTTTTTTTAGTTTGATCATCTTTAGCCATCTGAAATCTCAATTTTCTCATTTTAAAACCTACAGTAATACTATCAATACTGATCTCAATGAACTATAGTGAGAATTAAACAAAATAGTATATTTTACTTAACACAATGCTTGACACAGAACAAGCACACAATAAGATGATAGCTACTTAAAAGCATCACCCAGCACTAGTTTTGGGTAATAAGAAGATTATTTAAATATGAAAGTGGTTGCTTTCCTTTATTTATGGAAATAGATTTTATGGTAATATTTAATAAAACATTTATTTTTGCCAAGGACAGTCAGTTAATTGTAGCTTTAGTTAAAAGTTCATCGTTTCTTTCTATTTACTACGAGTTTCCAAAAGGAAAGTGAGCATTTCTGCCTGGGAGATGGTAAGGCTGAGAAATGCTGGAATTCTTGCATTGGATGTTTGTGGTTGAGAACAGATCATTGTCTCTTTGTGCCAGGGTAGTAGGTAGTGGAAAAGGGGGGGTAAAGATGAATGATACTATAGTTTAAACATCTCCTCCAAAATACATGTTGAAATTTAATTGCCTATGTAATGGTATGGGGAGGTGTGGATTTTAAGAGGTGATTAGATCTTGTGCATTCTATTATTATTACTGTTTTATTTTTCACGTTTTACTTTGAATTATAAACTTTCATTCGCAAACTCTTGTCAATGATGTCTTCTGCTTCCATGCCTACCTGGCTTACTTCTGCCAATCTGTCTAGATACAATTCAATGTTTTGTTAAAACAACATTTGCCAAAGGTTTCCTTTTGCCTTTTCCTCTAGCATGGAAATGAACTTGCATTTGCTGCATACATAGCCAATGATTATCCAAAGCAAAATGCCTAATTTTTGCATTAGAATTAATGCTGTTATGGGAGTGGGTTAGTTGATGTGGGTGTGGCCTCTTGGCAAAGGATAAGTTTGGCCTCATATTTCTCTCTGTCTCACCTGCTCACTTCTCCCTTCCACTGTTCTGCCACAGGATGACCCTCACCAGTTGCTGGTGATATGCTCTTGGACTTCCCAGCCTCCAGAGCAATGAGCTAAATAAACTTCTGTTTGTTTTTTTTTAATAAATTACTTATTCTGTTATAGCAGCAGAAAATTGACCAAGATAGATGGGAAGAGAAAGAGAGAAAAGAAGAAGAGACAAGGATAATAGAAAATATAAAGCAAATGCTGGAGCTTTTTACTTTAAAAAGTCAAAAAATAAGGGGAAATGTTCTAATTTTTAAAATAATAAAAGTCTTCAAACTATACAATGTGAGTCGTTTTTAGCATTTGAGATAGAAATGGAAGATACACAAAACACACAGGAGAAAGCTGAAGGTCAGGGAGAATTAGAAGACAATTGTAAAAATTAACAGTGATGATTTTGCTGCCCATGGTCTGGAAATGTCCTTCATGGTACCACTGAGAGTCAGAGATGGTAGATTTTATATAAATTAATTAACAGACCAACTGATAAGTTGATAGCTCTCATGATTCTTTTGGTTGCATGATATAATATTAAATGAACACAAAAAGTAATCCAAATACTCTTAGAAAAATTACAGTGGGTTAGGTCGCTCATTTTGAATGTCCACTGGGTGAGACTTCTGGATCTTCTTACATATGACACTGTATTGTCAGCTAGTGTTAGGGACTTCAGAACTTTGGGATGACTAAAATAATACTCAAATATGTTCAGCATAGTCTAAAGTCTTAATATTATGTGGGCTGTGTCCTCTTTGTCTCTCTGACTTAAAACCTTGCGGTTACTTTTAGCACCATTCTTTCCACTTTATATTCTAATACACATAAGGTTCTTTCATCATACCTATTTCTCCTTTGCAATTTCCCAAGAAAACTCTAGCCTATTTATTCTTATGCTGACAGTTTTTTCCAGTCCCAAATTCCATATGACATAGGAGAAGCAGGAAATGCTACCAAAGCAAGAAAACAACAAAAAATATGTTACTGTGCAGACCAAATGCCCATGAGAGAGAGTGAATTCTATTGTAAGGTTCCATTGTATATATTCTGAGGGTGAGCAAGTAGAGACAGGGTTGAAATCTTGTTTAAAGCAGACCTTCTATAGCAGGTTTGCAGGTTAACAAGTAGGAGAAGATAGGTCTTAAGTAAGTAATAAGTGGCTCTTCCCTCTGGGAATAGGAGCTGCAAAGAGGCAATTCCCATAACAATTTATAGGGAGAAATATATCAAAGGAGCTAAAGAATTACCCCTGAGAGCCATTAAATTTGAGCATGATGGCATCTGTTCCTGTGATGTATAGCTTATGTGTTACGCATGTATTTTTGCTTTGGATGATCATTGGCTAGGTATGCTGCAAGTGCAAGTTCATTTCCATGCTAGAGGAAAAGGCAAAAAGAAATCTTTGGTAAATATTCTTTTATTGAAACAGTTGTTCCTAGACAGGTTGGCAGAAGCAAGCCATGTAGGCATGGGAGCAGAAGAAATCATTGACAAGAGTTTGTGAATGAAAGTTTGTAACTCAAAGTAAAAAGTAAAAAAAGAAAACAGTAACAACAATAGAATGCACAAGCAGGAAACTTATCCACCATGGGAATTTTAGCCTAGTTATAGGATTTTCTCATTGGAGTATGTGGAGACTGAAGAATCTGTGTCCTTTTCTCCTTAATTCACAAAAGGAGACCCAAGGCTTCACCAGATGGGAAGAATTTTGTTAATACCCTGGAAAGAAAAGACTTTCCATGACAACTCTTCTGTGATGGGCTAAAAGGTAGCAGCAGGTGGGCCTGACATGGCTGTGAGGCTTTTCATTTCATGTCTAGCAGAGGGAAAACCAGTATTCTCTTCTTTACATCATTTCTTATAACTGCCTTCAGCAGATACGTAAAACATCTAATCGGATATGGCCTGTATTCTAGCTTAGATTATTTTTCCAGTTTTACTTTTCTTTCACGAACTTTGAATTTTCTCATTCATCAGTGCACATTTCACCAACTCCTGATTCATCAGTTCTTGAACTACTTAGATTAACATCTTGAACTTTGACATTTCACTTTATATTATTTGTGTTAGGTCACCCATCTTCAGACAGTAGGCTGCGTAGCCATGTAAGAGGCTGCCTCTGGTCACTGACCCTTAGTTCTCTGAGCTGCTAGCATGGGCACAAGGTCATGAAATTCTGGGCAAAACCCTGTTCCATGGGACACTGCTGGCTGGATCCACAGTGCCACTCAGCTTCCTCTCATCTGATATTGAGAAGTAATATAGAAGTAAAAACAGAAACTCACCATGAGTAAATCCTATTACAGAGGCACAAACTAAGTGCTATGGGAATCCAATGAATAAGGCAAATAAATTGGTTTATTTTTATTAAGCCCTCTGAAAAATCTCTCATCATATCCAATGAGCAAGATGGGGAAAAATGGGTGAAAAGAAGTAAAGTGCTTTTATATCTAGTGGACAGCTATGCTCAAAGTGACCAAAGTATGTTGATCAATGAAGTGATTAATGGAGTGAAATTCTGAATCATGAGATTTAGTAACAAGCAAAGTAAAATAAAACAAGTGGTGGATTTGACAATGACTCATACTTAGGAAAACAAGAGCAGCAGTAGCAGTTACCATTTATCTGATGCTTAAACTGTACTGGAGCTTTGCATATATTATCTCAGTTAATCCTATCAAGAATCTGTGAGCTAGTGTATTCTTATTTTACAGGTTCAGGAAAGTGAAATCACCCAGGCTTGCATAGTTAGGGTGACAGAGCCAGGATTTTAATGAAGGTTGGTTCACGTGGAGAGCTCCATTACTTTCATTAACTCATTTCATTCTCACAACAACTGAATGAATTAGAGTCTGTCATTATCTGCTTTTTACAAATAAGAAAATTGAGGCAGAGTTTGACTCATCATGAAAATATACTGTTAGTCATAATAATAAGGGATAAATATTTGGTCCAATCTAATAGTAAAAGCTTAGCTAGAATAGAAATTAAGGCTTCAAAAAACACACTTGATTCATTATTTTGTGGATCAGGAAAGAGAAGTCCTGGGTTGTAGTCCTGGTTTATCATTTATTAGATCTATGCCCTTGGGCAAGTATGTTAAACTCTGTACCTCAATTTCCTTGTCTATAAAGTGTGGAAAATAATACCAGCTTCCATACCTCATAAAGCTTTGGAAGGAGAAAATGCGACAAGGTGTGTGAAATTGATTTGAAATCGTGAATGTTATGCAAATCTGTGCTTTTGTTTTGTTATTATTTTGAAGACAACTGGTAGAAAGATACTCAATATCCTGAAAATGGTGCAATAAAAGGGTGTTTTTATGCTTATATGAATTAAAATTATCCAGAAATATGGTTTTAAAGATCAAAGGAGATAGAAGTTTGCCTTTGCAATGAAAATGAAAATTAAACACACTTAAAAGCCAAACATAATAAGATAACATATGGGGCTGAAGTTTAGTTGTCCCCTGAAAATTCCTAGGGCTTTTTACTCTTTCAATTAAAGAAAAGAATGAAAATAAAGCTTGTAAACAAGGCAACCTGCGGGTAGTCAAAGCGCAAATGAATCTCTCACTAGACAATTTACAAGTAAATTTTTAAGAGTATATTCTTTTGAGTCTCAGAAATGAGTATAAATCAGTTTGTTAACAGAATTACACACCCACTTACCCACACTATTGTCAGGACACAATACTCCTAAAGGAAAATAATTACAATTAATAGTTAGTCTTCTTTAGAATCAAAGAAAATCTAATAAAAAAGAAGTAATATAAAAACTAATTCCAATGGCAGATTTTTAAAAATTAATAATTTGAAATAAAAATTGAATTACAATTTTGTGGGGTTTTTTCCTCTTAAAATGTAGGGTTTTCCATTAGGTTTAATAATTATATTTCCAAGTTACTGAGAAGAAAACTGACCTTTCTTTTTTTTTCTGTTTGCTTTAATCTTTGTACCCATCACAGAGAATGACCAAGCTTTAATTCTTAGAATTTACATGATACAGTCTTGTGGATGTTTTTGTCTTTAGAGGTTTTTATAATTAGACCTTTCACTCTGATAAAGAAATTTTCAATATTGAGTAGCAAAGAGAAGTTCTGGTGTATTTATAGCTAATACTAAGGAATAGAAACCTATGCAGCATTGATTACATGTGCCATCTTCTGAAGCTGTGACCCATGTGGGTCAATCTCAGAGTTATTTTTCTTTCAGAGATGCTAATCTAAACAAAGGTTTCATTGTTTCTTCATTTCTCTACAAAAATATAAGAAATGGAGTCATATTTTACAGAAAGCTTATACAAGTTTCAGGTTGTCTCCAATTCTCTAAAACTTTAAATCTTTAAGGTACTTACAGAACTGTTATGAGGAATAAGTAAGATTGATTGAGCTGGCTCATGGTAAGCACCTAATAAATATCAGCTATGTTTGGTGTTAGCTTAGACGATTCTTTCCCTCATCCATGACTTTCTGTGTCCTCCATTTCTCTCCTTCCCTGTCCCTAAATACAAAATGCCCCTCCAACTTAATTATGCTTAAGCCAGTTTGTCCTCATCATCCATCACTGCTCATTGAAGAATATTGTTCCGGTATACTCCCACTGTGTTTTCTTTCTTATACAATCTACCAGCAAAGCTATCACCTTTCCATGTCTTAACATTTTCTTCCAATTCTGCAGTGCTGAAATCCAAAAAAGGAACCTGGCAATTGCAGAAAAGTTCTTAGAGAGCTGGGAAGATCCAAGAATGGGCAGGTAAACCCAGGATCCTCTTTGGCAAACAAAGGAAAAGACAGAACACTCATATTTTGCATATACACAGGATTAGAAAGAGGAAGTTAATTTTTTCCTACTCAAGGGGGATAGGGCAGGACACTGACATTTATGAAATGCATTTTAAATGTCAGCTGCTTAATCCTCTGATAACCAAGTGAGGCTGATATTATTGTCATCATCCTTATGTTATAGATAAGGGATTCACATAACAATAAATTGTGAATCTGGGTTGTAGCTAGAAACCTTGGTTCTAAATACCCTACTAATACCCATTAAATCTGCTAATTTCCCCAGTGAAGTATGATGATTCTCCACAAAGCATAGGTAAAGGAAGTTTGAGTTCAATTGTGAGCTTTCTTTCACCAACAAGCATTAAAAAACGTTATTGATTCAATGCAAAGTGGTCTATTTTTTTTAAAAGTATTGAGTGGCAACTATGCACCAAATATTCTTCTAGGTACTATAGATACAGTGATTTATAAAGTCAGCACAAGTTTACATCCTAATAGGGAGGGCAACTAAGGAAGGAAGGGAGGGTAAAAGAAAGAGAGAGAGGAGGGAAGAAAGGGAGAGAGGAAATGATAAGAGCTGTAATAGATTCAGATTTACTATAGATAGAAAACCTCCCTGACAAGGAGAAGTTTGGATTTTATTTCAAAAGTGATAGATGAATCCTTATTTTTTTTATTTTCCCAAAACATGTAGGTTCTCAACTGATATGGTTTGGCTGTGTCCCCATCCAAATCTCATCTTGAATTCCCACATGCTGTGGGAGGGACCCGGTGGGAGATGGTTGAATCATGGGGGCAGGTCTTTCCCGTGCTGTTCTTGTGATGGTAGATGAGTCACATGAGATCCGATGGTTTTGAAAATGAGAGTTTCCCTGCACAAGCTCTCTTTCTTTTGCCTGCTGCCATTCATGTAAGATGCGAATTGCTTCTCCTTGTCTTCCACCATGATTGTGAGGCCTCCCCTTCCATGGGAAACTGTAAGTCCATGAAACCTTTTTCTTTTATGAATTGTCTAGTTTTGGGTATGTCTTTATCAGCAGCATGAAAACAGACTAATATAGTAAACTGGTACTAGGAGTGGGGTGCTCCTGAAAAGATACTCGAAAATATAGAAGCAACTTTGGAACTGAGTAACAGGCCAAGGTTGGAACAATTTGGAGGGCTCAGAAGACAGGAAAATGTGGGAAAGTTTGGAACTCCCTACAGACTTTTTGAATGGCTTTGACCAAAATGCTGATAATGATATGGACAATGAAATCCAGGCTGAGATGGTCTCAGATGGAGATAAGGAACTTGTTGGGAAGTGGAGTAAAAGTGACTCTTGCTATGTTTTAGCAAAGAGACGGGCAGATTTTGTCCCTGCTCTAGAGATTTGTGGAACTTTGAACTTGAGAGAGATGATTTAGGGTATCTTGTGGAAGGAAATTTCTAAGCAGCAAAGCATTCAACAAGCCACTTGGGTGCTGTTAAAGGTATTCCGTTTTATAAAGGAAGCAAAGCGTAAATATTTGGAAAATTTGCAGTCTGACAGTGCGATAGAAAAGAAAATCCCATTTTCTGTGGAGAAATTCAAGCCAGCTGCAGAAATTTGCATAAGTAATAAGGAGCCAAATGTTAATCCCCAAGACAATAGGGAAAATGTCTCCAGAGCACGTCAGAGGTCTTCACAGCAGCCCCTCCCATCACAGGTCCAGAGGCCTAGGAGGAAAAAGTGGTTTTGTGGGATGGGCCCAGGTTCTCCATACTGTGTGCAGTCTAGGGACTTAGTGCCCTCTGTCCCAGCCACTTCATCTGTGGCTGAAAGGAGCCAATGTAGAGCTCAGGCCATGGCTTCAGAGTGTGCAAGCCCCAAGTCTTGGCAGCTTTCATGTGGTGTTGAGCCTGTGAGTGCACAAAAGTCAAGAAATGGGGTTTGGGAACCACCACCTAGATTTCAGAAGATGTGTGGAAATGCCTGGATACTCAAGCAGAAGTTTGCTGCGGGTTTGCGGTCCTCATGGAGAACCTCTGCTAGGGCAGTGCAGAAGGGCAATGTGGGCTTGGAGCCCCCACACAGAGTCCTTACTGGGGCACTGCCTAGTAGAGCTGTGAGAAGAGAGCCACCATCCTCCAGACCCCAGAATGGTAGATCCACCGATGACTTGCACTATACACCTGGAAAGGCCAGGCACTCAACGCCAGCCCATGA
The DNA here is from genome assembly GCF_000001405.40 of Homo sapiens. Lineage (NCBI taxonomy): Eukaryota > Metazoa > Chordata > Mammalia > Primates > Hominidae > Homo > Homo sapiens. Next base: position 173,196,163 of record NC_000003.12, read on the forward strand.
AAGCAGCTGGGAGGGAGGCTGTATATTATATTTGTGTGTGCCTGTGAGGGTATTTATGGATGATACTAACACTTAGACTGGTAGATTGAGTAAAGCAGATTTCCCTACCCAGTGGCAATATCCCCAGTGAGACTGGGCCTCATATAATCTATTGAAGTTCTGAATGAAATAACAATTTGAGTAAGAAAAAATACATTCTTTCTTCACATCTCAAAGCTGGAATATCAGTCTTCTGCCTTTGTACTTGGACATGGTCTGGAACTTACATCTTTGGTTCTCCTGGTTTTCAGGTCTTCAAACTTGAACTTATATCACTGTCTTCAGGTCTTTCAACTCAGACTGGAATTATGTAATCAGATCTCCTGGGTCTTTGACTTGCCAACTGAAGACCCTGGACTTCTCAGCCACCATAATTGCATAAGCCACTTTAGGGAAACCAGTTGAGAGAACTTCTAGTTGTTGGGTGAAGCATCCTGAGGGGCCACACTGAAGAAACTCCAGTTGTGAACATTGCCCATTGTTCAGCTTCAGTTTGTAGGACTTTATAGATACAAGACAACCAAAAATCTCTAAAAAGATCTTGGCATCCAGGTTTTAGTTGCCTGTGACTCCAAGTCATGAGAGTGGAGGAAAAATTGGGAATGTTAGTTTGGAGAGTTGTGGCAAGATATTAGAAGAAACTAAAAGAATTGAAAATTTGGTAAGGACTGACAAATGTGCAAGATGGCAGAATCCAGGCCAGTTTATAGATAGATAACAAAAACCTCAAAGACAGTGAACATAGCTAGTATCTAATAACTCCTTTAGGTATGTTATAGTGTGCAATTAAAGCGTAACTTTTCTCTCTACAATCACTGCACTTTTGATTCTTGTTTACAAGATAAGTCTGGCCTCATTAGTTTTGGCCTGATTATTTACATAAGTGTGCAAGAATAGTAATTGATTATGTAGACTTTTAAAAAATTTGCTTTGCTGGAATCTTTGTGTTTTATTTCATTCTCACATTGCTATAAATAAATACCTGAGACTGGGTAATTTATGAAGAGAAGAGGTTTAATTGACTCACAGTTCTACGGGCTGTACAGGAAACATGCTTTGGGAGGCCTTGGGAAACTTATAATCATGGCAGAAGGGCCATAGGGAAGCAAGCATGTCTTGCCGGGGCAGCAGGAGAGAGAGAATGAAGGAGGAAAAGCTACACACTTTTAAACAACCAGATCTCATAAGAACTATTATCATGAGAGAGCACTAGAGGAATGGTGCTAAACCACTAGAAACCACCCACATGATCCAATCACCTCCCACCAGGCCCCACCTCCAACACTAGAGGATTACAATTCAGTGTGAGATTTGGGTGGAGACACAGAGTCAAACCATATCATTTGTATTAAAAATTTCATATTCAACTTTTAACAACTCTCAAAGCTACAAAGTCAAGCTAACTCACCATCAGATTTTACCTGCAGTATCTATAGACTTGTGTTAATTCCTTTCTTTCTTGAGGTCCCCAGAATATCCTGATTCCTGAGCTTCCCAGGAAGTCATTTTCCTTACTTAGCTGTAAGGCCAAAAACTCCATAACTCAATTACCAGGCTGGCTTTCCCAAGAGGACTTTGTAAGCATTGGCTCCAGAAAATCAACCTTTATTCCTTAAAACTGATCACATCTGATTCTATGCATTATTTCCAACTGTAACATTCCAGTCAAAGTCTTGGTTATGTAATCGTTTTTTCCAATTATGTCCTGTTACAGGAAGAATGGAGACTTATTGAACTTATTCAAACAACTATATTGCCATGAAAATAAGAGTATTGTTATTTGCACAAGTTAAATAAGAGTTTCTGAATTCTGGAGGGGTCAAAAAGGGAGAAAAAAATAAATGGTTCATTTCTAAGTACAAAAGTATAATCTAATACATTGTTATGAATTATAGATAACTTAAGAGAAAGGGGAGAAGGGATCCTTAAATCCAGAAAATAGAACACTAAAGCAGGTAAAAACAGCAATACAAACTCACTGGTTGTGTTAGTTCATTTTGTGTTGCTATTAAGGTATACTTAATATTGAGTAATTCAAACTCTTCCAACCTCTGTCTGTTACCCAGTTTCAAAGCTGCTTCCATATTTTCAGATATCTTTATAGCAACTTCTTGGTACCAGTTTTTTGTGTCAGTCCATTTGCATTGCTATAAAGGAATATCTGAGACTGAGTAATTTATAATGAAAAGTATTTATTTAGCTCACAGTTCTGCAGGATATACAAGCATGGCACCAGCACCTGCTTCTGGTGAGGCCTCAGGGAGGTTACAACCATGGCAGAAATTAAAAGGGAAGCCAGCATACCACACAGCAAGAGAGGGAACAAGAGAGAGAAGGAAGTTTCAGGCTCTCTTAAACAACTAGATCTCATATGAACTCAAAGGCTGAGAATTTACTCATTACAATGAAGATGACATCAAACCATTCATGAGGGATCTGTCCCCTTGACCCAGACACCTCCCACTAGGCCCACCTTCAACATTGGAGGTCGCATTTCAACAAGAAATTTGGAGAGGACAAAAGATCCAAACCGTATCATTTCAAAATATAATAATCTCTTTCCAATAGTCCCCAAAAATCTTAAATCATTCCAGCATCACTCCAAAGTCCAAAGTTCAAAGTCTCATCTGAGACTCAAGGCAAGTTCCTCCCACTTCTGAGCTATTTTGAGCTAAATAAAAAACCATCTAAATTGACTTCCAAGATGCAATGGTGATACAGGCATTAGGTAAACATTTCCATTCCAAAAGAGAGAAATCAGCCAAAAAAAAAGAGGCAACAAGCCCTATACAATTCTGAAACCCAGCAGGGCAGTTATTTAATCTTAAAGCTCCAAAATAATCTCCTTTGACTCCATGTCCCACATCCAGGGCACACTGGTGCAAGGGTTGGTTTCCCAAGGCCTTGGACAGTTCTGCCACTTTGCAGAACTTAAATCCAGAAAATAGAACACTAAAGCAGATAAAAACAGCAACACAAACTCACTGGTTGTGTTTTTTTGTTTGTTTGTTTTTGTTTTTTTGCAGGGTGCAGACCCCACAGCAGCCCCCAACCAACTCATGGGTTGGAGTTGAGTGCCTGCATTTTTTCAAGGCACAGGGCACAAGCTGCTGGTGAGTCTACCATTCTGGGGTTTAGAAGGTGGTGGCCACCTTCCCATAGCTCCCTTGGGCAGTGTCCTGTTAGGGAACTCTTTGTACTGTCCTAGTAGAGGCTCTTCCTCTGTAGAAGGCTTCTGCCTGGACACCTGGGCTTTCCCATACATCTTCTGAAATCTAGGGTGAAGATTCCAAGCCTTCTTCATGCCTGCATTCTGTGCACCTTAAGGCTTAGCACCACATGGAAGTTACCAAGGCTTATAGCTTGCACCCTCTGGAGTGGTGGCCTGAGCTGTACCTGGGGCCCTTTGAGCTGTGGCTGTAGATAGAACAGCTGGAATGTGGGGAGCAGTGTCCTGAGTCTGAGCAGGGCAATGGGACATGTCTGGACCCAGAAACCATACTTTCCTCCTAAACCTCTGGGACTGTGATGGGAGGGGCTGCCTGGGAAATCTCTGAAATGCCTCTTTAAGGCCTTTTCCCCATTGTCTTGGCTATTAGCACTTGTTTCCCATTTAATCAGGCTAATCTCTCTAGCAAGTGGTTGCCTAGAAGCCAGCTTCAGCTTCTCTCCTGCAAATGCTCTTCCCTTCTCTACAACATGGCCAGGCTGTGAGCTTTCCAAACTTTTAAACTCTGCTTCCTTTTTATTCATAAATTCTGACTTTAAGTCTTACTTTGCTCCTGTATCTGATTGTGGGCTATTAGAAGCACCCAGGCTATGTCTTGAACACTTTGCTGCTTAGAAATTTTTGCTTCCAGATACCTTAAGTGATCACTCTTAAGTTTATACCTCCACAGACCCACAGGACGTGGACACAATGCAGCCAAGTTCTCTGCTGAGGTGTAATAAGGGTGGTCTTTGGTCCATTTCCCAGTAACTTCCTCATTTCCATCTGAGACTTTGTCATCCTGGCCTTCACTGTCCATATTTACATCTGTATTTTGGTCACAACCATTTAACAAATCTCTAAGAAGTTCCAAAATTTCCCTTATCTTCCAGTCTTCTTCTGAGCCCTCCAAACTCTTCCAACCTCTCTCCATTACCCAGTTCCAAAGCTGTTTCCAAATTTTCAGGTATTTTTATAGTAATGCCCTATTCCTCAGTACCAATTTTCTGTGTTAGTCCATTTGTATTACTATAAAAGAATACCTAAGACAGGATAATTTATACAGAAGTTTATTTTGGCTCACAGTTCTGCAGGATATACAAGTATGGCACCAGCACCTGCCTCTGGTGAGGCCTCAGGAACTCAGGAAGGTTACAATAATGGCAGAAAATGAAGTGGGAGCTGGTATATCACATGGTAAGATGGGGAGAAAGAGAGAAAGAAGGAAGTTTCAGGCTCCTTTAAGCAACCAGGTCTTGTGTGAACTCATAGAAAACTTATTACTGTGAAGATGACACCAAGCCATTCATGAGGGATCCAACCCCATGACCGAAACACCTCCCATTAGGCCCACCACCAACATTGGAGGTCACATTTTAACATGAGATTTTGAGAGGATAAAGCATCCAAACCATATCACTGGTTTATCTACACTTTATTTTTTAATCTCAATTGTGTTTCTGGCAGATGAAATAAGTTTACCTACTCAATATGAAGGCTAACACTTTTTACCAATATTTGTGCAGGTGAGTTTTAAGACTTTTCATTTTACCCTGATATGTAATCTTATAGATTTGTGTACTAAATTTTAGATACGTGACTCAGGGATATTAAATAACTGTCTGATGTATCTGCATCCCATCTGAGTGGATAAAATATCCAATCTGTTTTCTATCAGACTTTCTGTTCCCTTTTCAGCCTCAGGTGGTTCCTTTTGGGTATTCCTGAATCTTTTGAAACACCTGATGAGGGTAGAGGGCTAAAGTTATAGTGACTATAGGGAGTTGAGGGGCTGATGTAGACAGGGAAAAGTCTGGCAGAGATAGACAGAGGGATAGAGGAGGTGGGGGATTGAAGAGAGACATATTAAAGGATTCAAGCAGCTAAAGGGAAAATCAAAAATAGTAAAAGAAAGAAAGAGAAACAGACGTAACGGGAAAGAAGTAGTCTTAGAGAAGCCAGTTTGGAGTGATCTTATATTTCCAAAAGAGATCACTAAAGTTTCAAATTATCCTTAACAAAATCATGACAACGAGAAAGGAAAGAGCTAGTGTCATAGTTGGGTAGCATATAGTTGGCAGGACTTCAAGAAGGGAGAGAAGTCTGACTTAAAAGCTCCCATGTTCTTAATTAATAATACCTTGCAAACAGAAGCTGAGGACACTAACTCAGCTTTGTTTGCTTGGAACTCTAACTCAGCTTCTAACAGAAAGGCCTCATGAAGATCTAGGAGAAAATTCCAGGCCAGGAGTCTGTAAGTTCATCTCCACTAGAAACAAGAAGGTGAGAAAACTTCCATCTAAGAATATTATTGCTCAAACAGGTAATTTTAAGCCTGGGACTCTAATATAGCTTCAGAGGGCATACTGAGAATCTTAAGAATCAAAATCTGTCCTTACTGTGCTTAAATGGACTGTCCTCTGGAGCACTGGTTTAGGAGATGGACCCGGCAATGGAGTCCTGATCAACCAGTCAGGAGGAGTAAAGACAAAGACTTCAAAGGGGCTTACTTGGGGTTCTGAGTGAGAGCAGGATTCTTGCTGAAACTAGGCAATGCAGGTTTGGCAAGCACAGGTGCAATGGGGCTTGAAGGGTTGTAGATCCAGTCTTAGTCCACAGACGATTTGCAGAAGCCTGACTAAAGTTTAATCGAGGAGAAAGTCTTTGTCAGTCTGTGGGGGATATTTGTCTCACCAGTATTGAATACTACCATATTTCAATTTTTTTCTGGTTTAATAATTACAAAAAGAAATTGTTCTCATGTCCTTCAGTTCTCTTTCTTTCTTTCTCTTTCTTTCTTTCTTTCTTTCTTTCTTTCTTTCTTTCTTTCTTTCTTTCTTTCTTTCTTTCTTTCTCTTTCTTTCCTTATTAGAAATGTTAAGTATTTTTTGCTGAGGTTTAGTTGGCCATGTGGAAAATAAATTTTTCTTAGTGATTTTTTCAGGTCTCTGTATCAGGTCATTCTTGCATTGCTATCAAGAAATATATGAGACTGGGTTATTTATAAAGAAAATAGGCTTAATTGGCTCACACTTCTACAGGCTTTACAAGAAGTACGGTGCTGGCATCTGCTTGGCTTCTAGAAGGTGAAGGGTGAGCAGGCATGTAACAAGGTGAAAATGTGAGCAAGGGAGAGAGAGTGAGGGGGGAGATGCTACACACTTTTAAAATGACCAAATCTCATGAGAAATTACTCACCATTGTGAAGGCATCACCATACCATGAGGGATCCACTCCCATAACCCAAACACGTCCCACTAGGCCCCACTTTCAGCATTGGGGATTACAATTCAACATGAGATTTGGCTAGGGATAAATATCCATACTATATCATTCAACCTCTGGATCCTCTAAATCTCATGTCTTTCTCACATTGCAAAATACAATCATCCCTTCTCAATAGTCCCCTCAAAGTCTTATTTTAGCATTAACTCAAAAGTCCAAAGTCCAAAGTCTTATCTGAGACAAGGTAAGTCCCTTCTACTTATAACCCTATAAAATAAACAAGTTAATTACTTCCAAGATACAATGGGGGTATGGGCACTGCATAAACATTTCCATTCCAAAAGGGAGAAATCAGACCAAAGAGAGGGTCTACAGGCCCTGTGTAAGTTTTAAACCCAACAGGGGAGTCATTACACCTTAAAGCTCCAAAATAATCTCCTTTGATTCTGTGTCCCATATCCAGGGCACGTTGATGCAAGGGGTAGGCTCCCAAGGCTTTAGGAATCTGCTTCTGTGGCATTGCAGGGTTTAGCCCCTATGGCTGCTCTCATAGTTTGTTCAGTACCTGTGGCTTTTCCAAGTGTGGGGTGCAAGCTGCTGGTAGATCTACTATTCTGGGATCTGGAGGGTGGCAGCCCCCTTTCCACAGCTCCACTAGGCAATACCACAGTGAGAACGTGTGGGGGCTCTGACCCCATATTTCCCCTCCTCACTGCCCTAGTAGAGGTTCTCTGTGAGGGCTTTGCCCCTGTAACAGGCTTCTACCTGGACACCCAGGCTTTTACATACATACTCTGAAATCTAAGTGGAGGCAAAACCTCCTTAACACTTGCATTCTATGCACCTGCAGGCTTAACACCATGTGGAAGCTGCCAAGGCTTATGTCTTGCATTCTCCAAAGTAGCAGTTGAAGCTGTATTTGGGCCTATTCGAGCCCTCCCTGGAGTTGGAGCAGCCAGGATATGGGAAGCAATGTCCCAGGCTGCACAGGGAAGTGAGGCCCTGGGCCTGCTCAACAAAACCATTCTTTCTTCCTAAGCCTCTGGGCCTGTGATGGGAGTGGCTGAGGGGAAGATCTCTGAAATGCCTTTGAGGCCTTTTCCCCATTGTCTTGGATAAGAGCACTTGGCTCTTTTTCAATTATGCAAATTTCTCTAGCAATAGGTTGCTCTGCAGCCTACTTAAATTCCTCTCCTAACAATTTTGCAAATTCTTATAGCAGATTTTCCAACAGCATATTTTCCAAATTTTTATGCTCTGCTTCTCTTTTAAATATAACTTCCAACTTTAGGTCATTTCTTTATTCCCACATATGAGCATAAACTGTTAGAAGGAGTCAAGCCACATGTTGAACACTTTGCTGCTAAGAAATTTCTTCTGCTAGATACTCTAAATCATCACTTTGAAGTTCAAAAACTTCCACAGATCCCCAGAGTATGAACAGAATGCAGCCAAATGCTTTACTAATGCATACCACTGGTGACCTTTGCTTTGGTTCCCAATAAATTCCTCATTTCCATCTGAGACCTTGGTAGCCTGGACTTCACCGTCCATATCACTATCAGCATTTTAGTCACAAGTATTTAACCAGTCTCTAAAAAGTTCCAAACTTTTCTGTCTTCTTCCGAGCCCTCTGAACTCTTCCAAGCCCTGCCCATTACCCAGTTCCAAAGCTGCTTTCACATTCTCAGGTATCTTTATAGCAATGCCCTCTTCAGTACCAAATTTCTGCCATTCTTCCATTGCTGTAAAGAAATATATGAGACTGGGTGGTGTCTACAGAAAAGAAGTTTAATTGGCTCACAGGTCTGCAGGCTTTACAGGAAGCAGGGTGTTGACATTTGCTTGACTTCTAGGGAGGCCTCAGGAAGCTTACAATCATGGAAGAAGGTGAAGGTGAGGAGATTTGTCACATGGTGAAAATGGGAGCAAGAGAGAGAGGGAGTGGGGAGGTGCCATACACTATAGTCTCTCTACATATCCAGCCTTCTAAACTGTGAGTACTTGGGAATATAGCAATGGCTTTCCCTTGCTGTCCTATTTGACCACTCACTTAAATTTACTGACCATTCTAAGTTTATTAATATTGGAAGCTCTTTTGTAACTTTTCTTACATATAAACTTACCACAACATATTAGAAGCAAATAGCTTTCTATTTACACATGTATATAAAATTAAATATTTATGCATGTAAGATATACATGTGTCTACATGTATGTTTAATACAGTGGAATAATGTTTCAGACAGGCGATGAACACATTTAATATATATTAACATAGAAAGCATTGTAATAAACATCAGCATTAATAGCTTTTTGAGATCAATTTAGTTATGGATCCATTTTAACCTGTTCTCTAATGGTTAAAGTTAAATAGTATTATAGAGACAATGTAATTGAGAACAGAATGGCCACTGGAAAAGGAAATTGGTGGGGGATTGAAACTTAACGGTAAGTAGACTTGAATTGCATCCTTAATGGTGACTTTTAAAAGCATTGTTAATCTGTCAGCATGTGGATAGCATTTGTAGTACTTGCATACACCTTCACAGTGTCCAGAACCTACCAAATGTTTTCCATTAAGAAAAAGCCTCTTCTTCCATTAAAAAAAGAGAGTATTTGTTATGACTTCAATAAACAAATATTATAGAGTACAAGAAAAACTTCTAAGGCACGTGAAGGAAATTAGACTTTGTTCCTGGCCCTGTTAGGGAGGTAAGGCATAAACATGAGTTAAGCAATCAGAAGAAGTGTGCCCAATATCACTAAACCATAGGAATCTTAACTGAAAATAAAGACTAATACAGAAAACAAAAATACCTGGAAGTGAAGAAAGGAGGGTTGACTGGTGTGGCAGAAGTGGTGTGGAATTGAATCCCTATGCAGAAAGTGGATTCTAGCTGGTTCTTGAAGAATGGATACAATTTGTACATTTGGAGATAAAAGGAGAGCATATTTACTTCATGGGGGGATAAAACGTTCCAGAAACTATTTTGGTTAGAGAACTAGAGAATTGGAATGAACTAGAAATAAGATTTGTACAACCATCTCTCAACCAAAAAAAGGGTCCAGGTACACTGACATGAGCTGAAGTTTTCCCAGATTGAGCCCTGAAGGAAGAAAGATATGACCTATGACTGAAACACAGAATCAAGGGATGTCTCAAAAAATAGCACCAAGAGCAAAAACTAATAAAAATCAAAGAGACCGGCCCAGAAGTGACCAACCATGTACTTTGGACATGGTTTTCTGGGCTGGTCTCTTTGGAGAGCAGAATTTAGATGGGCATGCAATAGGCAGAAATTAGGGATTCTCCAATGTGTTTATATATACTTATAGTAAGGAATGCAACTATAGAGACTGTCACCTCATCTGTGGCTGGAGATGGAGCTGCTAAGGCTATCATGCAGATTCCAATACAAATTTGGAATGCTAGTTTGGGACCAAATTATCAGGAATTGTAACTTTTAGACTGGGGACAGTCATAAATTTTAATTTACTCTGGAGGCAGTGATGATCTCCTGGAAGTTGGGGTAGAACTAACTGATGAAAGAAAACAATAAATTTAGAAAGATGACATAGGAGGTTGTTTGTGTATCCCAAGGTAAGTGGTGATAAGGATATTACCCAGAAATTTAGAAATGCGAATAGAAAAAATGAAAAAGATATGGGGCATTGAGAAAAAAAAGAGTTGTTAAGATTCAGTGATTATTTGGCTTCCAAAAGTGAGATCAATAACCGAATTGAGTCAAAGACAATTCTAAGGACTTGAGAATAGTAACTGGGAGAATATTCTGGGAGAACTGATGGGGGACAGGGAGTGTGAAGTTTACGGTTCTTTCAGTTGGCAGGTGTGGAAAGTAAAGCATAAAGATTAAGTTATTTACTAAATTTAACTAATCAAGAATTTGTAGCCAACTAAGTTCCTGAGGCCTCACTATTTTATAAAGGTAAAATAAATCTATATTTATTAACAAGTATCCATTTGTTATTATGATTGGCTCAAGCATTTTATTTTATTTTTCATGCAAATTGGCACAGCATTTTCTGTTTGAGTCAGCATGAATTAGTTAAGCTTAACTCTAATGATTTTGACCTGGTTTCTTGGGAACAGATGCTATTTTACTTCGTGTAGTATCTTTGGAGCTAGCTACCAGGATGGGAATGATCTTTTTGAAACCAAAGTTCACGCACCATTGAAATTTCTTCAGGTTACAGGCCAGTTGTGGTCTATCACAACTTTGAAACTTTTGTAGAGGAAGAAGACAAAGAGGCATTAGGAAAAGATACAGCAAGACAGTTGCCAAGGAGGTAAGAGATAGGAGAAGACACAATAAAATAAGATTTGAGAACAGTGCTTCTTAAACTTTAATGTGTATACAAATCACTTGAGGGATTTTTTTTGAAAGGCAAACTTTGATTCAGTAGTTCTGTGGAAAGGCCCAACAGTCTGTTATTCTAACATGCTCTCGGGAGATGCTAATGCTGTTGATCCCTGGACCACATTTTGAGTAGCTAGGTGCTAGCAATCAAAGGAGAGGATTTTAAACTAAAAAAGGTTTCTGTGCTGCATTCTTTCACATTGCATTTTCAAACCCGCTCTCCACCCTTTTCCACCTTGCAGTATGTCCAGGAGGTTGCCCTTTATGGAGTACAAGAGTGGGATTCTTTCCTCTGGCTTCCTGTTGGTTTTGGGCATTACCTAAGAGGCATCAGCAGAAACTGGAAAGAGAAATGTGATTGAGGACTTGGTATTTACAGTTAGTTTCACTCTACCAGGACATATGAATTCGTAAAAATCACCACAGTGTGTAAAATAATGCCATTAAAACCACAGAGTTATGGGAAGATGGTATTAGGGGCACAACATTCAAAAACTTTGTCAGTGACACACATACACACAAAGATGGGAACCTAATAAAAGCTGCAGAACAGTTTTGTACTTGTTAAATGCTTAAGAATACTCATAAATATGACAATCAATATGGTACTTTACCTTGAAGAGCACCTGAAGTATGCTTGTGGGTATTAGAAAGGTTGCAGATTGTGAGGTACTATGAAGTGGTAGAAAAAATATCATCTGAAATTGGAAGAAAATTTGTAATACCAGATGTGAATGGATGTGGATCATAACACACTCAATGAACTGAGGTAGCTGGGAGATATTTGAGGTGAATGTATGTGTGTGTTTTGTGTATTCCTACCAAGTGTGGTTCAATTCTGCAATTTTGTCTGTTCACCTAGTATTTCCTATATGTGAATTTGTGCATAAGAAAAAATCAAATTTGGTTATATTCAAATTATTTTGCAACATATCAACAGCATTGGAACAAATCTGCACTTAAGATCTGTGATGCTCGTTGCTCCAGCACCCTACTTAGAGACATGACTCTTGTAGTATCCTCTCCTATAGCTACAGAAATTACTCCTAAGTTATGACAACCACTATTCATTCACCTTGTCCTTCTGACCCAGGGGTTGTAACAGCTCCCTGCTATTTCTAACTTTGGATGATTTCATGGTTGACTCTTAGTTTCATTTAACCTTGTTCACATCTTTGTAAATAGTTCCTTTAATGCATGCCCATCAATTGCCTATGCTGTTTGAGTTTGCCACGTGGGTCTTTCCAGTCCCCAGACAATGTTCAAAAGTGATTAGTGATGTAAAGAGATCAAGTAGAATTAGGGCTTGGTATCAGCCTTTGAATTTAATTATTATTGATGTCAACTAATTGATATTTTAATGCACTGGTTCGACACACCGTGGCCAGCCAGACCCATTACAAAAAGTAAGTTAGATCAAGCCATCCCCTTTCTCAAAACCTTATGATGGCTTCATTTTGGTCTTAGAGTAAAACCAGTGGTACTTTCAATGGCTTAGAAGACTCCACATAGCCTGGTTTCTTGCTGCATCTCTGAATTCACCACATTTCAGGATCAATCATTTATTTTTCTCCCTTTGTTCCAATAACACTGGCCTTCTTGTGGTCTTTGAACATGCCAGGTGGGCTTCTGCCTCAGGTCCTTTGCGTTGGGTCTTCCTCTTATCTGGAACATACTCTCCAATATATTTACATGGTTAAGTCTTTCCTCTTCAAGTATTTATTTAAATGTTATCCTTTCAATGAAATTTATTTTGATCTCCCATTTAGAATGCAACTCAGTCCCCACAATATATTGGCCCTCTTAACAAGCTCTATTTTGTTTTCCACAGCACTGCCATGTTTTAACATGCTGTGTTATTTATTTACTTGTTTTTTAAATCTTTTTTGACTTTCAATACTAACTAGAATAAAATTTCTCGGGGGGCTGAAAATTTGGGGTCTAGTTTTTAAATAGGTATTTCCCAAATTATGAATGAACTGTCAAATGTGTGAAGATGCCACTACTGATGCAACATGTGCTTTGGGTTTTCTTTTCAATAATGTAGACAGGTGTTTGTGGATGTATCTTAACTGAACACATTTGAAGGCTATTTTCTGAATGAAGAGTACAATTTGTAACCAAGAACGCATTTTCTAAGTATGAAGGTACTTGACTTTTCTGACTGATCAGACTATTCATTCACTGAAAAACTAAGTGATATTGTCCAAATTAAAATATTTTCAAGTTATAAAGATATTACTTTAATGAAAAGTTGGGAGGGGGGCTACCAAATTACCACAGGCCCTTGGAAATCATCCCAGAAGTCTAATGCCTGACCCATCTAGGAATCTTCTTAACATCATCACTGAAGCTAATCATCCAGTCACAGCTTAAAAACATTTCAGGTTCTGGTTTACATTTTATTAGGTTTTAATTAGAAGTCATTGTTTGAATGAAAAAAAGTGTTCCTGTTCAATAGCTCCATGCAGGCACTATGGCAATAACAGCACAATTTCTTCCATTAAAAACAGGACTTCTTTTTGTGTTTGAGGTTCATTTCTATAAAGCTCTGAAACCTGGAAATTCTCCCTTGCAGTCTAAGCCACACTTAGCCTTATTTTTTGTCAGAACACAAATAGAATCTTGTCCACTTTTCAATATTTATCTGTATTTTGCTAGAAAGAGTTTGGTTTTACATTCTTATAATTATTACTAGCATCATAAGTTCTGAAGTTACTTAAGGCTCACAAATGAATGAATGACTTCTAATGATACAAATGAATTACATTTCATAGTTTGAAAGTTTAAAAAATGTGCCTTTGTTTTTCTCTCAACATTCTTAGCTTTAGCTAGGATAGATAAATTCTCCAAGGATTGGAGCTTTCATACATTTACACATGTAAATAATGAGGGTTCATAAGAGATCCAGAAAATCTCTTTCCTTGTATTTCTAAGAATAACTTTTATTGAACTTTCAGAACTAGTTTAAGACACATTTTATTAAGTTGAAGTCACTGAGTTAGGTATAAGATAAGGCTACTCTTTTTATTATGATGCAACTAATTCTAAAAAATATTTAAATTAGGGATCTATTTTACTGTTCTTAATTGGATGGCTCAAGACAAAGATAAAAGTAAAACTTTAATTCATACATTTAAAACAGATTTTGTGAATGACAGTTATGTAAATTCTTACAGAACATTAGTACAATGACATCTAAATCATAATATATATTCAATTAGTTTTTCATTTATTCAGTGTTTATAGAGCACTAATTATGTGAAAGTATTGTAGTAAAATGACAAAGAAGACTGGCACTTTATACTACATTTCATGTTTTCATATTGGAAGACACATTAGCCCTAAAATTGGTAAATGACAGGCTTTGGGCAACTGAATTACAGTTTTTGCTTCCTTATAATGAAAATCCTCCTTATATAGATGACCAAAAATAAATGCTATTCTCTAGTTGGTTACAGTATATTCATTTATGTCACACTGACTAAGAAGCTCGACACTTGAAAAAAAGGAATCTTACAGTTCTGTATTCCTGAAGTGCTTAACTGAAGTGTTAGGCAAGGAGTGGAAACTGAATAAATGTGTTGAGTGATGTAAAATAATTCATGTAATCATGTGTATGTTTAGTGACAAGCTGATGAAACATCTGTTAAGTTGAATTTTTGTTTATGCAGATATTTAGTTGCTCTTTATACATACTCTTAAGTTGGAAAAGTCTCTACTATAATCATATAAACACTAAGTATAGACCAAATTATACATAACTCTTATCAAGTTTTTGCAAAAGTTTAACGTGGGAAAATTCTGAACTAGGAATTATTTTTCTTCAGAGATTGTTTTCTCTTTCAGGAAAATCAAATACCCAGACATGATGGGAAATCACTGCAGAATACAGAAGACAAACAAAACAACAACAAAAACTCCACAATATCAATAAATCCAGTGACAATATTTTTAGACATTTACACTGAAAAAGAACAGAACAGTCATTGTACAGTTTCACCAGATAAAGAATGAGCATAAAAGTGGCATGCAATAAAATAATTTAGTATCTTCCTAGCTGCTGGCCTACAGTGAGGCTTGCAGATGGGAAGGTGCACTCTGAGGAAGGCATTGATGGTACCAGCATCAAGTGCAGATCAACAGAGATTCACTTCCTCTGCCAATTCTCTATTCTTGTGTAAAAAGAGAAAACATACATGAATGGGTGCAACATCTGTTGAACTGTTTTTAATGTGCCAAAGTAGAATGGGATTTTCAGTTTAAGAAACAGGGTTTAAAAAAGAAGTAAGGAGAAAAATGTGGTGCAAAATTAGGAAAGAAAATATTTATGTAAAGAAATCTTCATGAGAAATAATATGAATATCCCACTGAAGATAGGTTGACAGGCAGCTTGATGGGATAGCTGATTGAGACAGAGAAGAGATTCTGGATTTAAAAAATACAGTGACAATTAAATGCAACAGAAATTTGGTTCAGTTGGGCTTTAGGGAAAACATAATTTTTTTGTCACACACATTTCTGCTGCTTGCTGATTTATGGGGAGAGAGTGGCATTGAAGAAAAGGAGGGTATCAGCCAAACTGTCTGAGGTGAGGAAGATCTCATATAATGTTGCAGTCACAGAAAGGTGTCAGGCAGCTGACCAAGGGTGGTGACTTCCCATTCCCAAAAGTCAAGGAGGATTTAACATCAAGCACGAAGGCTCACTACAGAGAAATAAGAGCAAAGAACATCAATGATGTGAGTATAAGAAGCCTAGGGAGGAAGACAACTGCCATAATTTATGGGCTAATCTGAATATCTGTCTATCTATCTGTCATCTACATATCTATCTATCTATCTATCTATCTATCTATCTATCTATCTATCTCAGACTAGGATATTAATCAAACGTATTTATGTTCAATATTGAATATTGAATGTGGATTATTACCAATCAATAATTCCTTGGCATCCTATCAATTCTATCGGTTAGGATTCTCCTGCCTCAGCCTCCCGAGTAGCTAGGACTACCACACCCAGGTAATTTTTAAAATTTTTTGTAGAGTTAGGGTCTCACTATGTCGCCCAGTCTTGGCTTGATCTTCTGGCATCACAAGAGCCTCTTGCCTTGGCCTCTCAAAGTGCTAGAATTACTGGCATGAACCACCATACCTGGCCTATTATTGTTAAATTTTGATTTTAGGCCGGGCGCGGTGGCTTACACCTGTAATCCCAGCACTTTGGGAGGCCGAGGCAGGTGGATCACGAGGTCAGGAGATCGAGACCATCCTGGCTAACACGATGAAACCCCGTCTCTACTAAAAATACAAAAAATTAGCCGGGCATGGTGGCGGGTGCCTGTAGTCCCAGCTACTTGGGAAGCTGAGGCAGGAGAATGGCATGAACCCAGGAGGTGGAGCTTGCAGTGAGCCGAGATCATGCCACTGCACTCCAGCCTGGATGACAGAGTGAGACTGTCTCAAAAAAAAATTTTTTTTGATTTTAAAATGGAGAATATATAAATATTTATCATTAAGCAATTGGTCAGATTATAATTTATCTCTTCAAGATAACATATAAACTATTTATTATATGCAACTATATGAAAGATAAGAATAAGATAAGTACTTATGTGGAATTACTTCAAAGATAAGTAATAAAAAGGTAGGTTTAGAACAATAAAAATACTATTATGTGTATATATTATGCTATTATACACACACACAGATATGTATGTTTGCCTATGTGAAGGATGCTTCCAGAAAATGTACTTGGAGAAATTATTTGAGTGGTGAGTGGCTGAGAGACTGAGGTAGAAGGAAATTACTTTTTATTATACACATTTTGTATTTCTTAAATTTTGTAGCATGCATATATTGTAGAATGAGAACAACAAATACAGGTAGCACTTTGCATTGTTCAGGCATACATAAATCACAGTTACCAGTTAGTTAAATAGTGTCTGTCCCTCAAAAACATGGTTAAAATTTCAATTATCATTGTATATTAACTGCAAGTAATTGCATAAGGTACAAACTTGGCTGCTAGCTCTTCAGTTCACAAATCAAAATGCAAATAAAAGATGATGTTCATCATGATATATGACCAACCACATCACTTCTTCCAAAATTGGGTGATTAATAGTTACTGCACTACTGTTATTTGGTTCACTCACAAACAGCAAAGTGTTTTGTTGTATTTGTCTCTAGTTGATGAAACCATGTGGCATTTTATAGAAATGGATAAAGAGGAAATTGGCTAACAAAGATGAATGTGCAGCAAAGAAACCAAAGTGAAAATATTGAAATGTGAGGATAATGTAAATGGAGTTATAGAAGAAATAGCTGATGTGAAAATGTTGATAAGGCCATCGTTGGAAACACTAGATATACAGCTGGAGCAAAGCAAGAGGTGAACTTACCAACATAATAGGGAAAGTGGCCATGATTAAAGGATAAATATGTTCCAGAAGAATTGACACTGGCAATAACAACTTCACATTAAAGCCACACTTAGAGATGCTTCATGACATGGAAAGCACAAAGCATAAAATTTTGGAAGCTGATTCAAAGTTGGAAAGGAATATGACAATTTGCCAAGGCATAACAAAGATGCTTGATTCATACGAAGAATTATAAATGAGAGGAAGGCAAGCACTGTTTTGAACTATTCTCGGTAAGTTTTTACAAGACAAGAAATCATGTTTCTAATGTTTTAAATTACTGTGTATTAAATACACATTGGGTTCACTATTTTTTATTTCCCTATACATTTATAACCAATAGGAAAAGAGTTTTCAATGTTTTGATAAAGATTTTAAAAGGCCACAGACAATTGCAATTTTTCTCATTGATAAGATGGTTTGCATAGTTTCAGCTTGCATGATCATTTTTATGATGCCACACGACTGTGTGAAGCAAGGGCTACTTATACAATATTTTAAAGAAACAAAAATAAATTTAAGATTTATTAAATTTATAAGTAATTTCTAAAAATTATATAAAATCATCTTTGTTCTTCTTGCTTTTCTATGAGCAAGTTAATCAAAATAACACCAGAAATGGAAATTAATTTCTGTTTGAAAATCTAAAACATTTATAAGGGAGATAATGAGATAAAAAATGTTTGGTGTCTGCTCTGCTTTTAACTCAGGCCAACTCATCAACATACCTTGTGACTGATTATTGATTAAAATGAGCCCTTTGCACTCTAATATTATTGATGGTTTTCACTCTGTCCCACCTTTCTCTCATTCTTTGTTTTGTTCCCATGACAACTTTTTTTTCTGCTAATGTTCTTGAAAGCTCGCTCCAGCCTCTTTGGGATCTCTGGTGTACAGTATCTCAAGTCCAATACCTGGATACCTGGTTTAATGCCTTCCATTTACCAGTTATGCATATTAATTTTTTCGTACCAGACTTCTTTCTTCTGCATCACCTCTCTCCCAACTTCCAGGCCCATCCAAGAACTGGCCAAAAGAAAAGCATAGTGATTTGGATGCCTCAATAATACAAAATAACTGGCTTAGAAAGGATAGAAGATTTCTTTTTTTAATCTCTAATGAAAATCTGAGTTTGTAAATGATCCAAGGTAATAGTGCAGAGGGGATTATGGCTGCCTCTGTCCCCAGGGAATTGGGGAAAAGCCAGTAGCAATGGGCCTCACCCAGCTCCCATGCAGTTGGTGAGGCTGGTCTTGCTCCTGCCATGCCCCACTAACAGAGCCGAGTTTATATCCAGGCAGCCTGTGTGCAGGACTAAAACCTAGCCCCAGGCTATAAGTTTTCCTGCTGAGAAAACAAACATGGCTTTCAGGCCATGCCCCTTCCTGTCTGCCCACACTGTCTGTCACTACTCTTGCTCTTCTTTCTGGAGCAGTTCCCATTCACACCCAAATTACGCTCAAAAGAGTTTTACCCAGTCAAAATTATTACAAAGTTCGGCTGGAAGTTTCTTTCACCTTGTGACCCCTCCCAAACTGCACCAGTTGCCTTTTCCGAGTGTCCCCATGAGACTTAGTCAGGGATGGCTTCCCTGGGCTTGAGCTGGAGAATGGCTGTGCCTACAAGGCTTCTTCCACTGCTGCTTCTAGTTTTATATTTTATTCTAAATTCATTTCAGCTCTGGGTAAGGTTAAATCCTTCTCCTGTAATCTGGATTTTTGGGTTTCCAGGGGGGACATGTGTTCAGAGGCAGGATTTCCCCCTCTCGCACTTTGGGAACTCGCAGTTTTTTGCTTGTCTCATGGGATTTGCAGTGGCTTGGTGCTTTTTTATTTAAAGAATCTGTGAATTATTAGTTTTCCTGGTATGCTCCTGCAGTGGTTCCTGGAGCAAAAGTGCACAGTATGGGTCTCCACACACTGTTCCATCCATCCAAATGGAAGTTGCATGTCAGCCCTGCATCTATCTACCAAGTTCCCAAGTCTCAACATTGCTTCGTTTTTTGTTTTTTTTTGTTGTTTTTTTTTTCATTCTTTTTTCTTTTGTCTCCTCTGGCAGTGCATTTTCAAATAACCTGTCTTCAAGCTCAACAATTATTTCCCCTGCTTGATCAGTTCCACTGTTAAGAGACTCTGATGCATCCTTCAGTATGTTGATTGCATTTTTGAACTCTAGACTTTTGGCTTGATTTTTAATTCAATCTCTTTGTTAAATGTGTCTGATAGAATTTTGAATTCTTTCTTTGTGTTGTTTTTAATTTCACTGAGTTTTCTCAAAACAGCTAGTTTGAGTTCTCTGTCTGAAAGGTCACATATCTCTGTTTCTCTGTGTTGGTCCTTGGTGTCTTATTCAGTTCATTTAGTGAAGTCTTGTTTTTCTGGATGGTCTTGATGCTTGCAGATATTTTCTGGTGT
The DNA here is from genome assembly GCF_000001405.40 of Homo sapiens. NCBI lineage: Eukaryota > Metazoa > Chordata > Mammalia > Primates > Hominidae > Homo > Homo sapiens. The sequence goes on from NC_000003.12 coordinate 173,215,857, forward strand.
CAGGGCATTGAAGAGTTAGGTATTTATTGTGGTATTCACAGTCTTGGCTTGTTTGTACCCATCCGTCTTCGGAAGGCTTTCCAGGTACTCGAAGGGACTTGGATGTTGTGATTATTGCAGTTTTTGGTCACTGCAGCCATATCTGCATTAGGGAGCACCCCAAGCCCAGTAATGCTATGGCTGTTTCAGATCTATAGAGGTATCACCTTTGTGGTCTTAAATAAGATCATAAAAAATTATCTGGATTACCAAAAAGAGAATCTTGTTCTATTCCCTTACTTTCTCCCAGACAAAGGGAGTCTCTCTCTCTCTTTCTGTATTGAGCTATCTGGAGCTGGGGGAGGGGTGACACAAGCACCCAAGTGGCCACTGCCACTGGGACTGTGCTGGGTCAGGCCTGAAGCCAGCACAACACTGGATCTTGACCAAGTCCTGCTGTAACCACTATCTGACTACTGCCCATGTTTGCTCAAGGATCTAAGGCTCTAAAATCAGCAGGTGACAAAGTCAGCCAGCCTTATGTCCTTCCCTTCAAGGTGACAAGTTCTCCCAGGTCATAGAAAGGCCCAGAAATGCCCGCCAGGAGCCAGGGCCTGGAGTCAGAAACCTTAGGAATCTACCTGGTGCTCTATTCTACTGCAGATGAGCTGACACTCAAACCACAAAACAAAGTTCTTCCTACTCTTCCTTGCTCTTTCCACAGACAGAGAAGTTTCTCTCCATGGCCACACCACCATAGGATCATGGGGGCTACTGCCAGGCCACCACTGATGTTCACTCAAAGGCCATGGGTGTTTTAGTCAGCTTGTGGTGAATGCTGCCAGGCCTGGGACTCACCCTTCAGGAAACTGGGCTCCCTTCTAACCCAGGTCAGGTCCAAAAATGTCATCCAAGAGCCAAGTCCTTAAATCAGAGATCGCACAAGCCCACTTTATGTTCTACCCCACTCTGTCAGAGCTGGTACCTACGGTGGAAGACAAAAACACTTTTTACTTATGCAGAAAGAGTCTCTCATTATAGCCACTACATGTGGAAATATGATGGGTCACACTTGGAGATAGCATGTTTCAGATTCTTGTTCACGGCCCATGGCATGTACTACCTGGCTACTGTGGCTGATAATTCAAGGACCAGGGGCTTTTTAGTCAGTAGGTGACTACTCCTACCAGGACTGGGTCCTTCCCTTTAAGGTAGGGGGTTCTCTTCTGGCCCAGGGTGTGCTAGGAATTTCATCCAGATCTAGGGCCTGAAATGCGGTCTCACGACTCTCTCTGGTATCCTATTTTACTGTGGCTGAGACGGTATCCAAGTCGCAAGTGGAACTTCTCTTTACTCTTCTCTCTCTCTTCTCCCCCAGTGGAAGGAAGAATTCTCTTTCAGAGCTGTGAGCTGTGCTGCCTGGGGTTGGGGGAAGGTTGGGACAAGCATTCCGTTGGCCCCTCCAGCTGGTGTCTCACTAGGTCATGTGCCTCTCAAGTCCACTGGCTCAAAGCCCAGCACAGCATTACAGCTTGCCTAGCAGTTGCAGTCCTTGTGGCCTAGACTGACTTTCTAGTTTATTTAGGATCCCAGAACAGCTTAGCCCAAGGTAGTGAGGCTTGCTGGAACTCAAATTCAGAGAGCTAGGATGGATGACTCCCCTCTGGCTAGGGCTGGCCTAAATGCTCCTTTTGTGGGTGTTTATTGAGTTCTACCCAGTATTATTTTTGCTGTGACAGGGGAGCACTGAGTTCCAATGTGAAGTTCCACAATCACTTCGCTTCCCTCCCTCAAGTGCACAGATACTCTGTGCCACATGGCTGCTGCAGGGTGATGGGGAGGGTGGCATCAGAAATTTAAGACTGTCTTTTCTCTCCTTCATTCTTTCAGTGAACAAAGTTAAAACCAGATACTGTTAGCATTCACCTGATTTTTGGTTCAGATGAAGACTTTTTTTGTGTAGATAGTTGTTAATTTGGTGTTCCTCTGGGGAAGACATTCAGTGGCGGCTACTTTTTGGACATCTTGTTCTGCCTCCTTCTTCTTCAATTTATCTTACCAGTGTTTTATAATAATTTTCCTTCTCAAGTCTGTCACTTCTTTGGTTAAATTGATCCCTAGGTAGTTTATATTATTTTTAACTATTGTAAATAGGATTGCTCTCATGACATCCTTTTCAGATATTTCATTGTTGGTTTATATAAATGCCACTGATTTTGTAAGTTGATTTTGCATCCTGCAACTTACTGAATTTATCAGTTCAAAGAGTTTCTTGGTAGAGTCTTTAGGTTTTTCTAAATATGAGATTATGTCATCTGTGAAAAAGGCTAATTTGACTTCTTTCTTTCCAATTTGGATGCCTTTTTTTCTTTTTATTGCCCAATTGCAAAATGTTTGGTAGAATGCAGAGGTGAAGCCACCAGGTTCTGGGCTTTTCTTTGATGGGATTTTTTTTTTTATTACAGCTTTGATCTTATTACTCAGTATTGGTTTGTTGAGGTTTTGTATTTCTTCATGGTTCAATCTTGGGAAATTATATATACCTAGGAATTTATCAGTTTTTTTCTAAGTTCTCCAATTTGTTTAAGTTTATGGTAATAGGCTCTAATGATTCTTTATATTTCTGTGTTCTCAGTTGTTAGGTCTGCATTTTCATTTCTGATTTTATTTATTTGTATCTTTTCTCTTTTTTTCTTAGTCTAGCTGAAGATTTATTGATTTTGCGTAACTTTTCAAAAAACCGACTTTTCATTTAATCTGTATTTTTATTACCATTTTATTTCTGCTCTAATCTTTATTATGATTTTATCCTTCTACTAATTTTGTGTTTGGTTTGTTCCTGCTTTTCTAGTTCCTTGAGGTGTTTCAGTAGGTTGCTTATTCCAGGTCTTTTTACTTTTTTGATATAGGTGTTTATTGCAATAAACTTGCCTTTTCATATTACCTTTGATGTATCCCACAGATTTTGGTATGTTGTGTTTCCATTTTCATTCATGTTAAGAAATTTTAAATTTTTCTTCTTAATTTCATTTTTGCCCATTGGTTATTCAGGAGCATATTGTTTAATTTCCATGTGTTTGTGTGGTTTCTGAAGTTTTACTGGTTATTGAGTTCTAGTTTTATTTCACTTTGGTCAGAAAAGACACTATATATGATTTCTATTTTTTAAAATCTGTTGAGACTCATTTTGTGGATTAAAACATGATCTATTCTGAAGAATGTTCCATGTGCTGATGAAGAGAATGTGTGTTCTGCAGCAGCTGAGTGAAATGTTCTGTAAATGTCAGTTGGTCCTATTAGATCTAGTGTGTAATTTAATGCCGATGTTTCTTTGTTCATTATCTGTCTGGATAATCTGTCTATTAGGGAGAGTGGGATGTTGAAATTCCTTACTATTATTGGATTGCAGCCTATCTCTCCCTTTAAGTTTATTAATGTTTGCTTTATATACTTGGTATTGTATGCATAGATAGTTATAATTGTTACATCATTTTCCTGAATTCATTCGTTTATCATTAAATAGTGACCTTCTTGGTCTCATTTTTGCAGTTCTGATTTGTAGTCTTGTCATTTGATATAAGTATAGTTACTCCTGCTTTTTTGGGTTTCCATTTGCATAGAATATCTTTTTCCACCTCTTTACTTTCAGTCTATGTGTGTCTTTATAAGTAAAGTTGGTTTCTTGTAGGCAGCACAAAGTTAGGTCTTATTTGTTTGTTTTAATCCATTCAGCCACTCTATGCCTTTTAATTGGAGAATAAGTCCATTTACTTTCATTGCCATTATGATAAGTAAGGAATTACTACTGCCATATTGTTGCTTGTTTTCTGGGTTGTTTTGTTTCTTCTCTCTTCCTTTCTTACTATCTTCTTTTGTGGTTAAGTGATTTTTCTCTGACAGTATGTTTTAATTCATTGCTTTTCATTTTTAATGAATCCATTGTAGATTTTTGCATTGTGGTTATCATGAGGATTACAAAAAACATCATATAGATATAACAAGTTATCTTAAGCAGATAACAACTTATCTTAGCTCAAAAGAAAAAAATGGAAACAAAGAAAGAAAAAAAAGGAAAACCTTTAACACTTTAACTGCATCCCTTCCTCATTTGGACTTTATGTTGTCTTAATTTACATATTTTAATTTTGCCTATCTCCTAACAGGTGGGTGTAGCTATGATTGTTTTTGATAGATTTGTTTTTTGGGCTTCATACTAGAATTATGACTGGATTGAATGCCACAATTACAATATTAGAATATTTTGGTTTTATCTGTGTGCTTAATTTTGCCAACGGGTTTTATACCTTCGAATGTTTTATTTTGCATATTAGCACTTTTTTTACTTTCAGAAGGAAGAACTCCCTTTAGCATTTCTTGTAAAATGAGTCTGGTGGTGGTGAATTCTCTCAGCTTTTGTTTTTCTGAGAAAGATTTTATCTCTCCTTTTTTGAAGGATAGCTTTGCTGGAGACAATATTCTTGGATGGCAGTTTTTTTTCTTTCAGCATTTTGAAAATGTTGTCCCATTCCCTCATGACCTGTAATGATTTTTATTGTGTTTGTGGCCAGATGAATTGGAGCTCTTTTATATGTTATTTGCTTCTTTTCACTTGCTGCTTTTAGAATCCTCTCTTTGTCCTTACCTTTGAGTGTTTTACTATTAAATACATTGAGGTGGTCTTATTTGGATTAAATCTCTTTGTTGTTTTCTGACCTTCCTGTACCTGAATATTTAACTCTCTTCCAAGTTTTGAAACTTTTTATTTTATTTTATTACATCTTTGAACAAGTTTTGTATCCTTTCCTTTTGCTCAACTCTATCTCGAACACAAATAATTCTTAGATTTGGTCTTTTGAGGTAATTTTCTATATCTCTTAGGAAATTTTCATTTTTTCCTTGTTTTTCTCTCCTCTGAGCATTTTGAAATAACCTTTCTTTTATCTCACTGATTCTTTCCTCTGCTTGATACATTCTTCTATTGAGAGCCTCTAATGAGTTCTTAAGTTCTTGATATGTTTCTGAATTGCTTTTCTGTGTTTAGAGATCACTGAGTTTCTTAAAACTGCTGTTTTTAATTCTTGATAAGAGAGTTTACATGTCACTGCTTTGTAAGTGTCGGTCACTAGTTCCTTGTTTTGTCCATTTGAGGAGGCCATGGTTCCTTGTTTGCTGTTTTTTTTTGTGGAAGTACAGCTATGTCTTTGCATTGAAGGATTAGTTATTTATTCCAGTCTTCTGTGTCTGACTTGTTTTGATTTTGGGGGGATATATTTGCTTAAAGATTCTTCACATTTTGCCTGTTGATATTCATTTTTCTTTTATTTCCCCCACTAGGTGGCCACCTACTTTTTGGCACTAGATGGTGCCTTAAGCCCAGGCTTGATTTCGTTCTAGCAAATAGTCCAAGTGCCACCCATCCCAAACTGGGGAGATTCCAAAGGAGATATCCCAGAAGTGTGAGTAGGCTGATTAGGGGTCCATGCCCTGGAGACCTGTGTAACAAACCTCCTACTATATGGTGCTGCTGAACAGCCTTTCTGTTTTGGCATCATCTTTGACTGAATTATAGCACACTGTTTCTGGAGCTAGGAATGATAGTCCCACCCTTTGTCTCTGGCTATCCTCAAGGATATTCTTCCCTCTAGATACTGCCAGTGTTTCCTGTGGGTTGAGGCATGAACGTATCTTCTGCCAGGGAAGCCGAAATGCTGCTTGGCCACCTCAATCTCACTTTTTCCAGTGTAGAAACTATGAATTGAAAGGAAATTGTCTCTGCACTTAGTGTCAGGTGGATTGCAGGAAGATTGTTGTGACTATGAAAGTCTGAGTCTCTTTCTGTTGGCTTGGAGTTTTTCCACTTCTCTGTGGTCTCAGGAACTGTCTTATCTTCATATTTGAGTTCTGGTATATTTCTGGTGATAATCTTAGCACTGCATAATTGTTTTCAGTTTCCTATGGAGGGTAGTAAAGCCAGCTTGCTCCTATACTGCCATTTTAGGACTTGAAGGTAGCACCTACTTTAGACAAAAGCTAACCAAAGGCAGAAGGAGTATTAAGATTTTTTTTAAACCATCACTAGGAACAAAAAGGATAATTTATTAATAAACAGGAACAATGCATCACAAAGATATAAAGATCCTGAAAACTTACATACTTTAAAACCTAACCTCAGGGTAAAAGATATATAATTAACAGAAATAGGAAGATCATGAATAAATTCTAAATCTTAATGGGTGATTTTAAAATACTTCTTTTTGACAACGAATGATAAAACAGACAAAAACAATTCTTGGGGATAATAAAAATTTAAAGAATATATTTAATAAGTTGGATTTGATGAATATATAGAACCTTGCATTCATAGAAAATGTTCACTCATTTCCAGCACACATAGAGCACTTATCAAAATGACCACATAATATAAACTCAAATAAGTATGTGCAAAATTATAATTTTTCATTCTTTGTGTTATAACCTCAATGTAGTAAATTTGGAAATTGGAGGAAGAAGAAAATTGCAATGCCTATATTTTTGGAATGTAAAGCAAACAAAAACTCAGCACTTTGGTAAAAATTCCTAAACCAAAAAAATTATACTGTGAATTACAAATAATTATTGTAGGGAAAGAAAGTTTTTTTTGTCACCTGTTAGAAGGTTCATAGTGAAGGCACATATAACAAAAGACAGATTAACAAGACATACATATGAACATATTTAATTACAAAGTTATATACAAATTTATTTAATGTAAATTTTATGTGATACAGGAGCCTTCATTAGAAAATGAAGACCCAAAGAAGTAGAAACCTGTGTATTTTTATGCTTAAGTTTGATGAAGAGTGAGCAGTCATGGAAAAATATGGTTGAACAAATGAAGTGTGATCTAATGGTAATAAATGAAGGGAACTTAGTAATGCCTATTTGTTTAGATTATTTTCTGTGCTCCATTTTCTTTAGAAATAAAGATGTTCCTTTCCTCTGGTTAGATAGTGGTCATCTTTCATGTGAAGGTCTTATGCCCTACTTCAGGGAGAGGTTAGAAAATTCTTTCTAGGTTTTTTGGTCTGCTTTAGGGGAGGAGGGTGGGAGAAGGTCAGAGAGACCCTTTTACTTCTGCTGTTTTCTCAAAAATTTTTAGCTTAAAATAGTATCCTAAAGTGCCATATCTAGATTAGATGTTCTGAGCCTGTCATTAGAATTAAATGACATGGGAAATAAAATACTTGTAAAATAAAAACATGACAATTTTTATATTTAAATTTATATATTAGAAAACACAAAGAGACACAATATTTAACCTACAAGCTTGGAAAATTAAAAATGATGAGGAGCTAACTCAGTAGAAGGAATGAGGTAAAAGAGATGTTAATAAAATATAAAAGAAAAGGAAAATGGAAAGGTTTTACAAAACCATCAAAAGATTTAAAACAGAATAGGCCTGGTAAGATTTATCAATGAAAAAAGAGAAAGAGCAAAACTGGACAATTTTAGGAAGGGAAAAAAGGACATGAACACAGATATTGTAGAAATTTAAAAAATCTCTACAGTGGCAAAAACATTTATGAAATGAACAATTTTCAAAGTAAATTTAAATTAAGAAAAATGATTTACAAAGAAAGGAAAAACCTACTGGACATATAATCATTAAATAAATTGAATTAGTAGTTTAAAATGCAGTCAATTGTCATTATTTTTAGTAGTGATGGTTTAGTAAGGCACCACAAACATTGAATTAGCAAATACAAACCACTGTTCTAGTAGAAATAAAAAGATAGGTTTTGGTGAGCCTCTGGTCACATTTTTACCACCTGATCAATACTTATCTTGTTTTACATGTATTTCTGTTTAAAGACACTGTTATTTAATATATATTGTTGATTAATTAGCATCAAACTCAGAGCCAACAACACTGTAACATGTCTGGACTAAATACATTTTCTCCATTAAGCACATCACAGCCTTCTCATGCTTGGGAACACTAGACAGAACTTCAGTACTACATTTAGGGGTCATTTCAAGTACCAAAATCATCAACCAAAAGCACAAAAATGAGAAAAATGTGGCACTAAATAGACCACAAAAAGGACACCTGTTTACAGTGTGACAGCTAAAACATAAAGGCAGAGATTCACTTTGACCTCAGATGGGACCAAGTGTGTTGGGATACTCAAATTTTTCACTGCTCTGCGTATTTTTTTGAATACTGCAAAAACACTCTATGAGTATTGACTTGGGGATTATAAACAAGTTCTAGTGAGTAGGCAAATTCACAGATACATTATATAGTAATAAAAAATTAAATTATATATCTAAATAATTACATAGCTTAATTTCTATCCATAGGAAGATTTATAATTTTTAAAAATTGGTGAGCCTCTTTCTTTCTCTTTTTCTTTCTTTCTTTCTTTCTTTCTCTCTCTCTCTCTCTCTCTCTCTCTCTCTCTCTCTCTCTCTCTCTCTTTCTTTCTTTCTTGAAATAGGGTTTCACCATGTTGGCCAGGCTGGTCTTGAACTCCTGACCTCAAGTAATCTGCCTGCCTCAGCCTCCCAAAGTGCTGAGATTACAGGCGTGAGCCACCGAGCCCAGCCAGTGATCCTTATCTTATAAAAATTATTTTAGAGAAAAGAAAAAATGGAAAAGTTTCCTAATACATAACCTTGATAATAAAACTAGAAAATAAAGAAAAATTGTAGGATAATTCACTTAATAACATACATGGCAAATTCTAAATAAAATATTAGCAAACCAAACCAGAAAATCATTCAAATTATCAAGTAGGTATGAAAAGATAGTTTAATTGTAGAATATAATAAAATGATTCTGAGAGATACAAAAAAAGAGATGTCTTTCCTGCTCTCTTGTGTTTACTCAGTACAGCACAGAACACTTCTGTGGCCAGATGTGTGGAAGATTTTCACCACACACCAAGCAAGTCTCCAATAGATACCAGTTGGGTGCCCTATAATTCAATTCAATTCTAACACTATCTGCCTGGAAATCATGTCAGATCCCACAGATTAAAAGCTCAGTCCCAAAAGACTTTGCCACACTTCGGATGCCAATCACAAGCCTCACACTGCGACCCATGCTTCTGTTACATGTACGAGTCTGCAGCAACCTCAATTCTTGCCTCCTCAGATGAAAGAATTTGGGGAGCATAAGGCAGAAGGAGAGACCTGGCAGGAGTGAAAGTTTATTAAAAAGTTTTAGAGCAGGAATGAAAGGAAATAAAGTACACTTGGAAGAGGCCCAAGCAGGTGACTTGAGAGATCAAGTGCATGGCTTCACCTTTTAACTTGGGATTTTATACCTTGGCATATTTCCAGGGTCTAGTGTCCCTTCTCCCCTGATTCTTCCCTTGGGGTGGACTGTCCGCATGCACAGTCGCTAGCCAGTGCTTGGGAGGGGAAGCACATGCAGTGTGATTACTGGAGTTGTACACATGCTCACTTGAGGCATTCTTCCCTTACCAGCCGAATGCTTCTGGAAGGTCATACACAGTTAGACTCCATCATTTTGCCTCTTAGTGAACATGCTTGAGCCCACTTGCCCAACTCTTGAGATCTTTTCAGGAAGCTGCTGATCACCAGCTTCAGGGTTTTCTGGCTATTGAAAACTGCCTTTCCTTGGCTCTGGCTGCAACAGATTATTATTTTAGAGAGGCAGTTTAATAATTAATTACCTGATCGTCATCTGATCGTTGCCTGACATTCCTGGTGTGTGTGTGTGAGTTTCAGGGGGAGTCCTTTCCTGCTCTGCTCGTGTCTGACTAGCTATCAACTCTAACATTTCTGACCAACCACTCTAAGTTGGTGTTTTCACAATCCACTCTTTGGGTTTGATTATTGCTACAGCAGCTCACTGGATTCAGGGAAACACTTTACTTAAGTTTAACACTTTGCTAGTAAATGATACAGATGAACAGACAGATGGAGGAAAAGCAAAAAGCAAGGCATGTGGGAAAGGGAACAGAGCTTCCATGCCCTCTCCAGGCACTCCACCATCCAGGCACCTCATGTGTTCAGCAATCCAGAAACTCCCTAAATCCTATTCCTCTGAGTTTTTAAGGAAATTTCATTACATAGGCATGATTGATTACATCATTGGCCATTGGTGATCAACTCAACCTTGCAAGTGGGTGGGGGCCTGAAAGTTACAACCTTCTAATAAGGTGGTTGGTTCTCCTGGCAACCAGCCCCCATCCTGAGGCTATCCAGGAACCCCTAGCTACCAGTTATCTCATTAGCATGCAAAAAAGACAATAATCATGTTGGGAATTCTGTCTTTTCGAAGTTGTGTGCCAGGAAATAGGGATTAAGAACAAATATAAATATGCTATTATAAATCACAATATCATAATGGTTTCCCCTGTTAACAGACTAAAGAAGAAAGTCTATACCATCACCTCAACACTTTAGAGAAATAAATACTTTAGAGAAATAAATATAATAAAATACTTTAGAGAAATAAATACAAAAATATTTCATATGGAACCAAAAGAGCCCGTATAGACAAGACAATACTAAGCAAAAAGAACAAAACTCAACACTTTTTTTAAAAAAACAAAACACAGCTCTGCCTTGCTGCCATAGATCAGTAGTTGTCAAGCTTTACATGCATCCAAATGATCTAGCAAACTTTTAAAAATACAGATTGCTTGGCCCCACCCCCAGCATTTTTGCCTCAGTAGATCTGGGAAGAGGTCAGAAATTCTCCATTTCTAACAAGTTCCCAATTGAAGCTGATGCTGCTGGTCCAGGGACTACATTTTGAGAATCACTATTATGAGAATTGCTGTTATGTAGGCCCAGTACTGACTTTTAAAGAGCACTCAGAATGTAAAATATCCACTTCTTAAAAATGTTAAGTAATCTAAATTAATCATATCTGACAGCAATATCAGACATGTGTATATACCTTAAAAATTTAGGGATGGATGTTTTGTGGTTTGTAATTTCCCTTCCCACTTACCTCTGCCTCAGTTTATATTGCTATTGAAGTTTTCCAGAACTATTATCTCCTTCATATTTAATCACTGACTGTTTTATAATCATCAATATCATGTGTAATTGGTCCCACTTCAATTATTCTAGTAGGCTTCCAACAGAATTTTACCTGCTTTGAACCATGCACTGTTTTCATATAATGTGCTTTTTTTCTTCCTTTTAGAACAGAACATATAATAGCTTTTCAACAGAGAAAAAATTCTTTTGATGTAGATTTTTGCTCAATGGACTTAATGCGTCTTCATTTATATTCAGAGTAGAAAAATGTTACATATTAGAAGTGGAAAATAATTCTATGTGCATATAGCTATGATTTTCAGTTATTTAGGTAGGAGATCATGAGCAAGAATACAAGCATGTTAAAATAAGGAAGGTTGATCAATGCATTAATTTTTTTTAGAGATGGGGGGGTCTCACTATGTTTCCCAGGCTGGCCTTTAACTCCTGGGCTCAAGTGATTCCTCCACCTCAGCCCCCACAAATAGCTGGGACTGCAGGCATGTGCCACCACATCTGGATAATAATCTTTTTTCGAAGTTGAATATGAATAGATTTTATTGTATGTTCATTATTTTTCCATCTCTTTATTGTAGACTTGTTGTTCCTGGCATCCAGGAATAGCTTTTACCATTATATGTAGGGATTCTTTAGAGATATTATGGGTTTTATTCCAGACCAACAAAATAAAGCAAAATCACAATAAAGCAAATCACAGAGTTTTGGTATCCCAGTGCATATAAAAGTTATATTTACACTATACTGTAGTCTATTAAGCATGTAAAAGCATTATTTCTGAAAAATGTGCATACCTAAATTAAAAGACTTTATTGATAAAAATTGTTATTGATCATCTGAGCCTTCAGGGAGTCCTAATCTTTTTGATGGTGGAGGGTCTTGCCTCAATGTTGATGATGTTGAATGGCTGCTGATGGATCAGGTTGCTAAACTTGAGGTGGCTATGGCAATTTCTTAAAATAACAGTGAAGTTTGCTGTATTGATTGACTCTTCTTTTCAGAAAAGATTTCTCTGTACCATGTGACGCATTTGATAGCATTTTACCCACAGTGGAACTTCTTTCAAAATTCCATGTTTATGGAATATTCTAATTCCTTTGTTGTCATTTCAACAATGTTCAAAGCATCTTTACTAGGAGTAGATTCCATTTCAAGAATCCACTTTCTTTGCTCATCCATAAGAAGCAACTCCTCACTCATCCAAGTTTTATCATGAGGTTGCAGCAATTCATTCCCATCTTCAGGCTCCACTTTTAATTCTAGTTCTCTTGCTATTTTTACCAGATTTGCAGTTACTTCCTCCTTGAAAGTCTTGAACTTCTGAAAATAATCCATGAGGGTTTGAATCAACTTTTTACAAACTCTTTTTAAGGTTGATATTTTATCCTCCTTCCATGAATCACAAATGTTCTTATTGGCATCCAGAATGATGAATTCTTTCCAGAAGGTTTTCAATTTACTTTTTCCAGATCCATCAGACAAATCACTATCTATGACACCCCCATAGTGTAATGAATTGTACTTCTTAAATAATGAGACTTGGCCAGAGGCAGTGGCTTATGCCTGTAATCCCAATACTTTGGAGGCCAAGGTAGGAGGATCACTTGAGCCAAGGAATTTGAGAGCATCCTGGGCAACATAGTGAGACCCTGTTTATATAAAAATAATAAAATACAAAAAATAGTAAGGCTTGAAAGTTGAAATTACTTCGTGATCCGTGGGCTGCAAAACAGATATTGTGTGAGTAGACATGGAAACAACATTAACCTTGTGCACCCCCATCAGAGCTCTTAAGTGTCTAGGTGCATTGTCAATTAACAATAATATTTTGAAGGAATTTTTTTCTGAGCGTTAGGTCTCAGTAGTAGGCTTAACATATTCTGTAAACCATGCTGTAAACAAACGTGTTATCATTCAGGTTTTCTTATTCCATTTATACAGCACAAATAGAGTAGATTCAGCATAATTCTTAAAGGCTCTAGGCTTTTTGGAAGTTAACTGAGCATTGGCTTTGACTTAAAATCACCAGCTGCATTAGCCCCCAGCAAGAGTGTCAGTCTATCCTTTGAAGCTTTGAAGCCAAGCATTGACTTCTCCTCTCCAGCTATGAAAGTCCTAGATGGCATCTTTTTCCAATAGAAGTCAGTTTCATATATGTTGAAAGTCTGTTATTCAGTGTAGCCACCTTTATTAATGATCTTAGCTAGATCTTCTGGGTAACTTGCTGCAGCTTTTACATCACTACTTGCTGCTTCACCTTGCACTTTTATGTTATGGAGATTGTTTCTCTTTTTAACCTCATGAACCAACCTCTACTAGTTTCCAATTTTTCTTCTGCAGCTTCCTCGCCCACCTCAGCCTGCATAGGATTGAAGAGAGTTAGGACCTTGCTCTGGATTAGGCTTTGGCTTAAGGGAATGTTGTGGCAGGTTTGATCTTCTCTTCATACCACTAAAACTTTCTCCATATCAGCAATAAAGTTGTTTTCCTTTTTTATCATTTGTGTGTTCACTGGCCTAACACTAAATTTCCTTTAAGAATTTTTCCTTTGCATTCACAACTTAGTTAACTGGCATAAGAGGACTAGCTTTTGGCCTATCTCAGCTTTCAACATGACTTCTTGACTAAGCTTAATCATTTCTAGCTTTTGATTTAAAGTGAGACATGTGACTCTTTTTTTCACTTAAATACTTAGAGATCATTGTAGCGTTATTAATGGGCCTAATTTCAATATTGTTATATCTCATGGAATAGGGAGGCCCAAGAGAGAAAAAGAGGAAGGGAATGATCAGTGGAGGAATCAGAACACACACAACTTTTATCAGTTAAGTCTGCTCTCTCATAATGGTGCAATTTGTGGTGCTCCAAAACATAATAGTAACATCAAAATTCAATGATGGTAGACCACTGATTATAGACTACCATAACAGATATAATCATTTAAAAAAGTTTAAAATATTGCAAGAATTACAAAATGGGATAAAGAAACACAAAGTGAATACATGGTGTTGAAAAAATGCCCCCAATAGGCTTGCTGAATGCAGGGTTGCCATAAACCTTCCATTTGTAAAACATGCAATATCTGCAAAGTGCAATAAAGCAGAATGCAATAAGATGAGGTATTCCTGTATTTAGATAGGATAACCAGGGAGAAAACATGAAAGACTTTTTGTTCTTTGGCAACATGTAAGTTGATTTTTATATAATCATTTTTGTTCTAAAGATATTATCATCAATGCGTATGTAAACATATTTCATATTCACACTTAAATGAATATTTAAAAGGAAATAGTGGGACTTATATATTGTGTTACCAGACATTTTCTCAAGTGCAAGTAAGCACTTTGATTTCAACTTAGTATTTTACTTTTTAGAAAAGAGTGGGTAATGTTATGTACCAGTAAGTGATTGATAAATGACAGAATGTCCCACTCTATACTTGGAAATAGGGTCAAGGGCATAGCTGCACAGGGGTGTCAGGGGAGGCCCAAGATCAGCCTCCAAAATGAGCATTACATTGAAGAAATTGTTCCTACAATCCAGAAATCTTAGAGAATATGATAGAAAATATTATAGTTATGTGTCACTTAACAATGGGGATACATCCTGAGAAATGTGTCATTAGGTGATTTCATTATTTTGCAAATATTATACATTTTCTTATGCAAATCTAGGTGGTATAGCCTACTGCATACCTGGGCTAGATGGCATAGCCTATTGCTCCTAGACTATAAACCTGTACAGCATGTTACTATACTGAACACTGTAGGCAGTTGTAAGACAATGGTAAGTATTTGTGTATCTAAACATAGAAAATGTACAGTAAAATATGGTGTAAAAGCTTAAAAACAGTTACATCTGCATAGGGCACTTACTGTGAATGGAGCATACAGGACCAGAAGTTGCTCTGGGTGAGTCAGTGAGTGGGTGGTAAGTGAATGTGAAGGCCTCAGACCTAACTGTACACTAATATAGCCTTTATAAATATGTACACTTAGGTGACACTAAATTTATAGAAAATATTTTATTTAATAATAAGCTTAGTTTACTATAACCTTTTTATTCTATAAACTTTTAAATTATCTTAAAGTTTTTGACTCATAATAGCACTTAAACACATTGTACAACTACACAACAAAAGTATCTTCTTTCTTGATATCCTTACTCTATAAGCTGTATTTAAAACTTTTAAATTTTCTATTTAATTTTACTGTTTAAACTTTTTTGTTACTAAGTAAGGCAGAGAGGCACACATGAGCCTAGGCCTATACAGAATTAGGATCATCAAGACGTCAAGAAGCAATTATAACCTTATGAGACCACTGTTGCATATGTGCAGTGTTATTGACCAAAGTGTTGTATTTCTTTATAATGTAATATTTTTTCTGTTAAGGTGCATAAACAATAAATTTTCAAGTAAAATATTGGTGGTTTCAGAAAAAAAGTGGATTGGTCATTGGTTTAAATTGAGGGACATCACTGCTAGGTGCTGAATAAAATATATTTTTTGAAAAAATAATTTACTTTCTCCATGAAGAGAAATAATTAAAAGCAGATGTGAGAAATAAGTTGGGTAAGAAAATTTATAATGCAAAGATTACTTTTATTTCCCTCAGCTTTTCTTAAGGATCAGTTTTCCAAATACAAACTGAAAAGAGAAGTGATTTTGAATTTTGTTCGTAGAATCCATCTTTTACATACTCAAAAGATTTATTTTGGTCTCTAATAATTAAAGGAAATCATATTGATTGCATGGATTGCTCTAAGTTCTCAACTGTCATTTAGACTTTTTGTACTTGGCTGCAGTTCTTTATCCATGGAATGTTTTTTAAATAACATCCATCATGATCTTAACTTCTTTTTCCTCAGTTCTCTTTGAAGCTCAATTATTAATTTTATTCCTCTTCCACCACCGAGGAAATCTAACCTTCAGTTTTATGTTCTCTTTATATTCACACATTTCTAGGTATGCTTGGAGTTCTTTTTTGATATCTTTTTAATTTCTGGATCACATCAGTTTTATTCTGACAGATGCAGCCTCTAAAATAAGCTGTGTGATGCACTCAAACCTAAAATAAACCATTATTTCAGGGTTAGGTGCGTCATACCTGCAAATAACCTCATTTATCTAGAGAAATGTATTTAATGCTTATTGTATAAATACCAGTGTTTCAGCGTGATCTATAATACCATCTGTCACTTCTTTTTGTCCAATACATAATTCAATCCTTTATTCCAGTTTTTTGAGAAGGAGAGCTCTTGCATATTATCTTATACATACTGTGACAAGAACCCAGGCATATTATGAAAATATATTAAATATTATCCAAGATAAAATTTTAATGCAAGTTGAATGAAATGCTATCTTTGTTGCTAAGATATGCATTAAAGTAAGCTTATATCATTGGCATCTTTCACGAACTTCATTTAAAGTATATTTTAAACACAATGTTCTGGAAAGTAGGAAAGTAACTGCTATTTCTATTAGAGGACTGTTGTCTCTGGTTATGACACAGAATGCTCTACTGCAGAAAGAGAGGAAAATAAAAACATAAAGTGGTAGCACGTTGCTGAAAAAGCAGCATTTTTTTTTCCTCACACCTTGCCTGAAAAACTTTTTGCCTGGATTAGAATAGAGCCTTAGATGGATATTTGTAGGGATGCACATCCAGAATATATGTCAGAAAAAATTTAGATTATCGAATATTTGTTGAGTGAATATGAGGTGCCCGACGTGATACTAGGTTGAGGACCCTGAAAAAGATCACACTCCAGGTGTTGATCTTCTAACGAGGAGAGAGACACAACAAGGATAGTATGGAGAACTACGGTCAGTGCCATAGCGGAAGAGATCCTGGGGGTCGCTGAGAGAGGTGCCTAATTCAGCTGCTAGAAAGGAGATTCCAGGGAAAGCTTTCCAAGGAGGTTTTACTGGCATTCCATTTTGAAGAATGAGTAGGAGTTAATTGTTTAGGTTGTTTTTAAATTGCTTATCTCCTAAGTAGTTTTAAGAAGAATGATATTTTGAAATTATCTTGTCACGCACAATTCTGTAGGTTTGATCAAAGAAGACAGTTCTTATTTCTCCTCTTTCCATCTAACGTACATGCATTCACACTCACAAGTTTGGTTTTTCAAATGTGTGGCTTTACTATCAGATTTATTGGTAAAACTATATTGATGTGTATGTATGTGTGAGAATAGATGGTAGGAATTACGTATAAGATCATCACTTCAATGTAAATAAAATTTACCTTCTAGGCCGGTCGCAGTAGCTCACACCTGTAATCCCAGCACTTTGGGAGGGCGGGCGGATTCAGAGGCCGAGGCGGGCGGATTCAGAGGCCTAGGAAGGCAGATCATGAGGTCAAGAGCTCGAGACCATCCTGGCCAACATGGTGAAACCCCGTCTCTACTAAAAATACAAAAATTAGCTGGGCGTGGTGGCGCATGCCTGTAGTCCCAGCTGCTTGGGAGGCTGAGGCAGGAGAATCTCTTGAACCTCGGAGGTGGAGGTTGCAGTGAGCCTAGATCGCGCCTCTGCACTCCAACCTGGTGACAGAGAGAGACTCCATCTCAAAAATGAAAAATAAAAAATAAAAAAATAAAATTTACTTTCCAAAGTCATACATACATATATATATACATACACACACACACACACACACACACACACACACACACACACACACATATATATATATATATATATATATTTTTTTTTTTTTTTTTTTGAGACCAGATCTTGTTCTGTGAATCAGGCTGGAGTTCAGTGGTGCAATCATGGCTCACTGTAACCTTGAACTCCTGAGCACAAAAATCCTCCTTCAGCCTTCCAAATAGCTGGGATTACAGGTGTGTGCCACCATGCTGGACTAGTTTTTCTTTTTATTTTTGGGGGAGAGATGAGGTCTCACTGTGTTTCCCAGGCTATTCTTGAACTTCTGGCTTCAAGCAGTACTCCTTCCTTGGCTTCCCAAAGTGCAAGAATTACAGGTGTGAGTCACCATGCCCTGGCCCTAGAGTGTAATTACATATTTTTCATCACACATTCTCTCTAAACACAAAGAACACATGCTCTTAAACAAGATCCAGAAACAGACAATTCTACTGGCTGTATCTGTATTTACTTTGAACACATTATCTCATTATACGGCAGATTCTTCATTGTAACAAACATCCCTAAAGTGGAATGAAGAAAATGAATGCATGCGTACTCCACAGGGTATTTTCTAGGGGAGAAATAACTTTATATTCTAGCTTGGAAACATTTCTATTCTACAATTTTGGAGAGAAGATAATTGATATCTTTGCACACATATCTTTTTGTCTGATAATGAGATACATATTTTATAAATATTCATGTTGCTATAAACCAGGTTGGTCTTAGATGGGATAGGCAAGACCTAACTTTGGCTATTAATTTAATTTCCTCACACATAGAAGATTGTTTTAATAAAGATGGTACATAATCCTAGAGGAAAAGACTCCTTTAGTAAGCTGTATGATTGTCTTCTTTGAGAAGAGCCTCTGGCAGTTTAGTAGATATAGGCAAAGATTTATGACTAGTGACTACATTTTCTCCCATTTATTCTGGAACGACTTTCTACTGATTCTTCTAAGATTTATCTTTCTAAACTCTAAGTAAGCCAACGTGATCACCGTAGGCTATAATGTTCAATACTTTTCTTCATGGTGTTTTATTTATTTTGCTTATTTATATTGTGATATACTTCACACTTACGAGAATATTTTTTAAAAGATTTCTTTTCTGCATCTACTATGCAGTCTAACAAAGAAAGCATTAAAAATACAGATGAAGCTCTTTCATGCATGGTATGATAATTTCATTGCATTAGATCATGCCTCAAGGTAACCACTATTTTTAATTTGTTGTTTAACCTCCTATATATTTGCATACTTTTACCACTGAAATGTGTATTGCTAAATAATATATAGTATCATTTTGCATATTTTAGTATCATACTATATATATATATATATATATATATATATCTCCTAGCAACTTACTTTTTTTAACCTAACATTGTTTTTTGGATTATTTTTCCCATATTGATATATGCGGTTCTACTTTATTTTCATTGCTGTATACTATTCCATTGCATGACTTTACCACAGTTTGTCCATTCTCACATTAATAGACTTAGTTTTCTAGTTTTTCTATTGCAAACAAAGCTACTATGAACATTTTTGTATTTGTGTCCTTGTGTATGTACATAAGACTTTTCTAGGTCATATCACATAACAGTGAAATTGTTAGTTTTGGAACTATGTGGTTTTAAAATTTTATAAAATGTTGGCTGATCAACCTCTAAAACCTCTTGTAACAATTTACACTTCCACCAGCAGTCTCCACACCATCACTAACACTTCGTAAGACTTTTTTGCTTTTTGTCAGTCTTGAGGGTCTAAAATGGTATATCAATTATGAGTTGCTTTACCCGGTAGAATCCAAGAGAGAAGAAGTTGTGCAAGTTTTGTGCAAGTTCTGTCTCAAGACCTGGCATATTTGACTTTTGTACTTGAGAGTCCTGAGCCACCACGGAAGAAACCACTGCTAGACAGACCATGTAAAGAAGTCATATAGTGGGCTGACACCCAGAATCACTTAAAGAGATAGAGCAGGCCAGCCATGTCAGCAACCCAACTGATCCAGCCCTCATCAACCCAGCAGAAGATTGCAGCCACATGAATGACCACTGACAATACCAGCAAAAGTCTCAGCTGAGCCCAGCCCACATTGCATATCTGTGAGCAAATAAAATGATTGCTGTTTTTAAGCTAGCTCCTAAATTTTGGAGTATTTTTTAACATATGAATAAATTCCTGAAACATCAATTAAAAATATTTTGATGGACAGTTTTTTCTTTAATTTTAATGTTGTCAAATATATCAATTTATTTTTCCCTATAGCTTGTAGTTTTTGTCTTGTGTACAAAAGCTTCCCAACTCAAAGATTATTAGGATATTCCAATAAGTGTTTTAAATTTTTACCTTTCACATTTTGGTCTTTGATGCAACTGGAATGTGTAATGCATATGGTATGAAGTGGAGCCCATTTTTTTTCCTAGACGGCTAATCAATTTCCCTAGGACTATTAATGATATAATCCATTCATTCTTCGTTGTCTTGCAATGGCACTTTGTGGCGTTTTTTAAGTATACTGGGGTCTTCTTTGAGCATCTTTAGTTCCACTAGTTTATTGGCCTATCCTTGTGCCAAGACCAAATACAGTGTTAAATAATTTTAGTTTTAAAATAATCTTGATATCTGTTAGGAAACCTCTCTCTAACACTACTTTTTACTTATTCTGACTTCTGTTTGTTTTTAGTATCCTGGCCCTGAATACTTCCATATACATTTTGAAATAAGCTTAAGTTACAAAAAATAAAACTGTTAAGTTTGACTGAAATTGCACTTAATTTGTAGCTTAATTGAGGAGAAATTACATCTTCACTATATTCTGTCTTGTCTTTCTATTCATGAACATAGTATATACATCTATTTACGTGGATCTTTTTAAATAACTTCAAATTTTGATTTTTTTTACCAAGTTCTTGCATATGTTTTGTTAATGTTATTGCTAAGTACCCTACATTTTTGTAGCAACTGTAATTATTTTCTCTGAAGTCAGCTTTAATAAGATAAATTAATATAATATAACCAGAACCTATCACATGTGTGTAATTTGATGAGTTTTGAAAAACATATCGCTCACATAATCACTACCACAGTCAAGATAAAGAATTGTTTTTTTTTTTTTGAGACGGAGTCTCACTCTGTCACCCAGGCTGGAGTGCAGTGGCTCGATCTCAGCTTACTGCAAGCTCTGCCTCCCAGTTCAAGTGATTCTCCTAATTCAGCCTCCTGAATAGCTGAGACTACACGGGCCCGCCACCACGCCCGGCTAATTTTTTGTATTTTTAGTAGAGACGGGGTTTCACCATGTTAGCCAGGATGGTCTTGATCTCCTGACCTCGTGATCCACCACCTCAGCCTCCCAAAGTGCTGGGATTACAGGCATGAGCCACTGCACCCAGCCAAGCATTTTTATTATTTAAAACAATCCCTTGTTCTCTTTCCCAGTCCACCAAATCATCTCTTCTGCCCACGGGTAAGCAATGATATGTCTTCTGTAAGAATAGATCAGATTGTTTTCCATTGTTTTATACAAACAGAATCATATGGTATACATTGTTTATGTCTAGCTTCTGTCACACAGCATGCTTTTTGAGATTTACTCATGATTTTGCATATATCAATAATTCTAGTTCTTTCCAAATTATTTGTCTATTCACCTGTTCATGAACACTTCGGTTATTTCCAGGTTTAGGCTATTATCTTTTAAACTGCTGTAAACATTTATGCACAAGTCTTTAGATTAATTACATTTTCATCTTTTTGGGGTACATATATAGTAGCAGAATAGTAAGGTGTCATGTGACGTGTATGTTTAGCATTTAAAAAACTCCAAAACTGTTTTTCAAAGTGGCTGTACAATTTTTCATTTTTTATTTCCTTAAGTTTTCAAATGTCGTGGCTTAAATGTATTTATAGTGTTATTTTATTTGTATGTCTTTGCTATAATTCTACCTTTATACTTCTTAAATTTATTATGGGTTTTTATTATGTTTTTCTTGATCAATCCTGAAACAGCTTTGCTCCTTTTAGTTGTTTTTTCAAAAACAAGTGTTTTAGGTTTATTGATTCTTTTATTGTATTTTTCATTTATTTGAATTTGCCTTTTTTCTTCATTATTGTTTTCTTTCAATGTTCTCTGGATTTATTTATCTTTTTCTAGCTTCCCAAGATGAATACTGTGATGGTCTTTGATTTATTGCCTCTCAGCTCCAAATTCACACTTTAAAAAAAGAGAAAAGGAGTTGGCCTTATAAATATTTCTCTTTTGCCTACTGAGAGATCTTAAGGGACATTGAAGGAGAAAGATTTTTCTTCCTGCTTCTGGAGAGGGTTGCTCATCGACTGCTATAGAATATGCCTTTTTATCCACTGCTTGGCCTGCACAGAATCTTCAGGGCTCGGTGCTGATAGGGATCAGCTTTATACAGTGTTTGGCTACTGTGTGCTTTTTGCAGCCATTGACTTAAGCAGCAGCAACACAGACCAAACTCTTACATAGCATGGGCTACAGCCTTGGCCAAGATCCCTACTCCCTGCACTCTCCCCTCAGTCTCACATGAACCAGGCTTGGGGCCCCAGTGGATTGGCCATTTAATGACATTGCTTCCCAATCTTAACTCCTAGAAGCTGTCCCAGAATCACTCAGCCCATACTGTACAAAAGAAGAATGCTAGATTCCTGTAGAGGAAGGCTTCTCCAGCTCCTGGTTTCACTAGCAACCATTGCGGTGACTTCCTCCTTCCCTCCACTCTCTAATCTCCCTGCCCACTCACTCTTCACTTCCGTACTGCCCCAAACCCCACTCTTCCGGAATGCTTCTCAGTGCCTATTTGTCATTCTAACTTGTTTGTGTCTTGAAGGTTTATTTTCTTCCTGACACAAACACAGCACTATTCTTCATTTTCCCAGTGATGCCTCAACTCCATCTGATATCTGTCCACAGCTTTAACTTCTCTGCACTCCAGAGAGTTGTTCCTGCTTGTCTAGCCACTGAGGACCAGCTTTGGTTTAGCAATCCAGCAAACTCTTTCCTTAACTAACTGAGCCACAACCATATTTTCCTCTACAAGGTTTGAACATCTTTTCAAATTTGTCTTTCCTTGGGCACTCGCTCTCAGGCCTTGGATCAATTTCCATTAGAGTTCTCTGTCTATCATTATGGTAACTCTTCTATCATAATCAATAATTCTTTATATCAAAATGATTTTAAACTTCCCCTGATTTCTTTCTCCTGATTAGATTCAGCCTATGTAAATACCAACTAAGTTTCCGTGTGTTTTCTAATAAAGGCATTTAAGGCTATTAATTCCCCTCTAGTAGTAAATTGTTATATATGGTAAGATTTCTGCTACTGCTAGTGTTCTGTAACAAGAATTAGCTCATGTAAGATTGGTAAATAAGAGAATAATGCTTACATAATGCCTATATTGTTTTGGTTCATACTTTTTTAAGAAAACCAACATGTTAAGATTACATCTTACCAAAAGTAATAGCAGTAAAATGCAAAGTGCACTAGAATAGAATGTGAACTAATAATGCTGGATACTGTCAGCTGTGGGTGAACATAGTGCTATAAATGACATTTATTCATTCCGTGGCCTTCTCTTTGGCTTAATTTAGTCATGTGCTTTCTCGTGAAATTGCTATTGTGTTTTTCTTTCCCTTATTTTTGTGCATTTCACCCTTCCTATAATTCAGCACGCTCTAAGCTTTCTAACCTAACCTTATGTTAGGGGAGATTTTAGAAAATAAAGTTTTATATTAACTATAGTATTAATTTATTAAAGAGTAAACATGTATTTTTAATTATGCTATTGTTTTACTGGGATTGTTACTATTTTTAGTAGTGCTTTAGTTACAAAGTTGTGTAGATTTTAGGTGTTGTATTCCAGACCTATCTTTCCAATATACCCTCTTATTTTCAGTGGGGAGTTTTGCAGAATCAAGGTTTCATAGGTGATATCCATATCACGTTACACACAGAAGGCCCATATTTTCATTCTCTTTCAAGTTCCAATCTTTCCTAATTTCCTTTTGAATCATGAGTAATGTTAAAATATGTTATTTTATTTATTATTATTATTATTATTATTATTATTATACTTTAAGTTTTAGGGTACATGTGCACAATGTGCAGGTTAGTTACATATGTATACACGTGCCATGCTGGTGCGCTGCACCCACTAACTCGTCATCTAGCATTAGGTATATCTCCCAATGCTATCCCTCCCCCCTCCCCCCACCCCACAACAGTCCCCAGAGTGTGATATTCCCCTTCCTGTGTCCATGTGTTCTCACTGTTCAGTTCCCACCTATGAGTGAGAATATGCGGTGTTTGGTTTTTTGTTCTTGCGATAGTTTAATGAGAATGATGATTTCCAATTTCATCCATGTCCCTAAAAAACATGTTATTTTAAAACAAAAAAAGGTCATGTGAGCACAGCAAGGTGGCAGCAGCCTAAAAGCCAAGAGGAGGCCTCAGAATAAAACTTATCTTCCTGGCACCTTGATCTTGGACTTCTCAGCCTGCAGTTTTTTGAGAAATAAATTTCTGTTTTTTAAGCCTGTGGTATTATGTTATAGCAGCCTGAACAGACTAATAGATCAAGCTTGTTAATTGTTCAAATCTTGATTGATTTTATATCTATACATAAAATAGCTGGAGCTCTCAGTTAACAAAAAAAATGCATATTGAACTTTCACAAATAATTGTAGATTTGTCTTCTGTGAAATTTGATCAAGTTTTGCATTAATAGTTGTGAGAAATACTATCAAGTACATACATATTTAGAATTCTAGTAGATTCTTGGGGAAATGTACCTTTTAAAATTATGAAGTAAATATCTTCATACAAATGCTTTTGACATCATAATCCATTTTGTAAGACATCTTTAAAGCCACACTAGCTTAGTTTTTCCAGTAATTTTCTTGTATATAATATTCAACATCTTAATCACATTCTACCTTCCATTGAATTTTACAATTTTGCATGTACATCTTGTAGGCAATTTTATTTTAAAAATCCATTCTTGCAGTTTCTGTATATACTGTCAACCCTGATACATTGTGAGTCTTCTATTTGTTCTACTTTTTCTGTGAGTGTTTTTCTATTCTATCTTTTGATATTTCAAGTTTTATTTTTTTTCGTTTCACTTTCCTACCTTACAGGTTTTCAAATTATATACTTTCTTTATACTTTGTAATGACTGTTCTTAAAATTTTAACATGTATGCATATGACACTTAACAAACTCTAAAATTAATCAGCATATTTAAGGCCACCAAATAGCGCACCAAAATCATAGAACACTTCATTTCTAGTTTCTTCCCATCTTATACGTTACTGGTGTCAGCTTTTAGTTCCAGCTTACTTCATAAGTCTTACAGTAATTAATATTTTTATTACTTTTTCATTCAATTTGTTGTTGTATATATGCACCATTGCCACATTTTTGCTCACCTTTATTTTTGTAATTTCAGCCCTAATTCAATTTCTATCATTGTGAAATATTTTCTTTAGATGTTCCACCAGATATAAAACTCTAGGTTGATTGTTATTTTCACTCAATATCTTCAGATATCATTCAGGTCTTCTGTTTTTCTTACATCTTGTGAAGTTTGCCTTTGGCTTACCTGTCTTTTTTTTTTTTTTTTTTTTTTGTAGGTTATCTATCTTTCAATTACAGCTACTAGGATTTGCTCTTTCTCTTTGGTATATTAAAGTATATCATACTATGTCCAGGTTTTTATTTCTTTTTGCTTATTCCAATCATGTGTTTTCTGAACAGGTGATTCATAACTTATCATTTCTAGGAAAAAATTCTAACTCATTATCACTTCTAATTTTGCCTCTTACCCATTCTTTCTCTTTACTCTTACCTTTTTTTCTTTTCTTTCTTTTTTTTTTTTTTTTTTTGAGACAGAGTCTCGCTCTGTCGCCCAGGCTGGAGTGCAGTGGCGCAATCTCAGCTCACTGCAAGCTCCGCCTCCCGGGTTCACGCCATTCTCCTGCCTCAGCCTCCCGAGTAGCTGGGACTACAGGTGCCCGCCACCACGCCCAGCTAATTTTTTGTATTTAGTCTTACTTTAACATCACTTAGATATACATTGGATCGTATTCTATTTTCCTGATCTCTCAGTTTTGTTTATGTTTTCCATCTCTTTATTTTGTATTCTTTATTCCAGTTAAACTCTTCAGATCTACATTCCAGCTTATTTATCTATTCACCTATGTCTACTCTTCTGCTTAATCTATTGATTGAGTTTTTAAGTTGGATGGTAATTTGATTTCTGAAATTTCTATTGTGTTTTTTTCTTCAATTCTGGCACGTATTATTTAATGGTAAACTATTACCAGTAGTAATAATTTAAAATAATAAAGAATTTAAAATAATATTTTAAAATAATATATTAAAAATAATTTAAAATATTAAAAATAAAATATTTTAAATTCTTTATACATTTTAAATATACTTGTTTATTATAAAAGTGAGAATTTTGTTATCTGATATTTTTAGAGGCCTGTGTCAGCTATTGTTGACTCTGTGGGTTCTCACTCATTATGGCCTATTTCCTCATGAGTTATGTAATTTTGAAGGTGAGTTTATTTTTGGTGAGACGTTATCTATGAGAATCCTCTGATGTTTTCTTTTTGGAAATATATATTTAAAGGCAGAAATAATTTTTACCAACATGGGACTTCTTTATGTTATGAGGTTATCTGGATCATGTGACTCAAATTCATGTCCGTGTAAAAGGAAACAATCTTTTTCTCCTATCTCTGTTAAGTACATTAAACCTAAGCCTCCTGGTTAGTGAAATCAGCTAATTTAGCTTCCATTCCGGTTGCTACCTTTAGAATCTTCCTTACTCCCTTATCCCCTTACCCCTAGGTGTTTTGTTTGTTTGTTTGTTTTTGTTATTTTTTTCTCCTACTTGAATTGCATTGATTTATTATGTGCTCAGTTATAAATTTAAAGGGTGGTTGTTATATTTAATCCAATATATCTAGATGTTTTATATTAGAAGTTCTTTCAGGTTACTTAGTTCATTATGTTTTTAAGCCACTCTGCTATTATTTTTTTAAAGGCTTCTGTAACAAGTTCTCATTGAAACATGGGTTAATTTATCACATTTGGTTGAAAGGGGGGAAATCCTAATATTTATTGAGTGGCTAAATGTGACAGGCATGGAAGTGGGTGCTCCAAACGACATTTTTTCTAACTTTAAGTAATTGACAACTTATGTCTTAAGAAATGAGTTGTAGCCAGTAAATTTCAAAGAAAAAAAGGACCCGTAAGTCAAGAACAATTTCCAAATAATGAAGAGCAACCTTGCTTTATATTTCAGGGGTCTTATAAAATAGTAGTGAGAAGAGAGGATTGTATCGAAGGCAACATTCATTTATTTCCTACCTGGTTTCAAGGCAACTTTATTTATGCCTTACACTGTCTAATAAGAGAGAAGGAAAGAACATTTGGCCAACAGAAAGTATTTTAAAAATGATGGGCTGTCCCATTGTTTACCCTCTACCCTCTGTTCCATTATTAAGAATTACTTTTATTCAGTTATTAAAATCAGTGTTTTTCTAAACTTTTCTAGGTGAGAAATTTCTTAAATGAGCACTTTTTTTCTCTTCATTAGACTGCTGGCTTCATCTGGCAGAAGGCATGTCTTTTCTTCTTCTTCTTCTTTAAATTCACCTTTGTTATTATGTACCCAGCAAAATACTAGAACAAAATAAGCACTGAATAAATGTTTCTTGAATGGAAGACTAAGTGATTCTCTCTGTTACAGAGCTTTCAGAATTGGAGGATCTTGCTTTTAAGATGGACACCACCAAGAGATTTTTTTTCAGTGAAGCTGAAAGGAAGAGAGTTGACAGTGGCATGGTCGTAATAGGTCTCTGGATATTAAGACTATAATAGATTAGTGATTTGGGAAAAGGCAGAGAAGATTCTGCATATTGCTTTGAATTATTCTGGGGATTTTGTCCATAAAACATGCAAGCTGTAAACCATTCATTGGTCATGAACCAAGTGGTGCAATGGAAAGAACGTGACCATTAGAATAAAACAGACTTTGCAAAATCACAATGTTCATTTATTACCACAAAATAAATTATTTTCTTTTGCTCCAGGAGAACTCTACTGTAGAAAAACCATCTTAAAAATCATACAGAATATCTTCTGTCTTCATAGATTTCTCATGAAGATTGTTTTGAATGAAGAATTCTTATTTTTATTCTTACTTTGAAAAAATACTTATTTTTCTTCCAGTTCAAAGTATACCACACTTACTTTCTATACTAAGCTAGAAAACTAAATAGGAAGAATCAATGGAGATATTATTGTACCTCCATAATCAGGTAGGATTCTTTTGTTTGCAAGAGAGAAGAAAAAATTGATTAAGCCAAAAGGGAATGTATTGTCTAATGTAACTGAACTACACTTAGACCTGACTTGAAATATTGGGTTCACACAATATCACTGGGGCTAAGTTATCTCCATTTCTTGGTGCTACTTAGCTCTGTTATTGTACTTCTTTTGAGTTAATTCTGTGGCATGCTCCTTCATCTTCACCACAAAATGGCTGCTATGCTGCTATCACTTACATTTTTCATAACTTCAGGCCAAATGGTAGAAAATGCAAATCTCTTTCAGTAGCTTTTATGAAGTCTTGAGATTAATTCTGGTTGGCTTAACTTAGGTCACATTCTCACTCAATCATAAGAATTAAGCAAATATGATGCCCTGATTGGATTAGTACTAAGTCATGCGCTCCAGTCCAAGGATGAGACAGAATTGACTCTGACAGGAGAACATAAACTAAAAGTGATAGAGATGAAAATATAGAAAGATTTTGGTATCTGAAAACAACATATTTCTATTACTACCTGCATTAGTCTGTTTTCACACTGCTATAAAGATGCTACCTGAAACTGGGTAATTTTTTTATTTTAAATTTTGAAGAAACTTAATTTCCTCATATTCTGCTATACCTTACTCTGTATGGAAAATATCTTTTTTAAAATAGTACATTTTCTTAAAGGTTATGACTCCTATCTTAGAGAAATTTTTATTTTTGCTTATTTTAAAAAAAAATTCCTGGACTAATAAATCCAAAATCTCTGCTATAGCTGAGTCTGATCCTTTTTCCTTCTGTATTTCAATGGTTTTGGGGGAAGGAGTGGCGTTTGGTTACATGAATAATTCTTTAGTAGTGATTTCTCAGATTTTGGTGCACCCATCATCTGAGCAGTGTACACTGTACCCAATGTGTAATCTTTTATCCCTCACCCCCCCCCACCACCCTTTCCTCCAAGTCCCCAAAGTCCACTGTGTCATTCTTATGCCCTTGTGTCCTCATAGCTTAGCTCCCACTTTTGAGTGAGAACATATGATGTTTGGTTTGCCATTCTTGAGTGACTTCACTTGGAATAATGGTTTCCAACTCCATCCAGGTTGCTGCGAATGCCATTATGTTGTTCCTTTTTATGGCTGAGTAGTATTCCATGGTGTGTGTGTGTGTGTGTGTGTGTGTGTGTGTGTGTGTATGTGTGTATGTGTGTGTGTATATATATATATACATATGTATATCCCATTTTCTTTATCCACTCAATTGATGGGCATTTGGGCTGGTTCTATATTTTTCCATTTGTGAATTGTGCTACTATAAACGTGTGTGCAAGTATCTTTTTTGTATAATGACTTATTTTCCTCTGGGTGGCTACCTGGGAGTGGGGTTGTTGAATCAAATGGTAGATGTATTTTTAGTTATTTAAGGAATTTTCACACTGTTTTCTATTGTGGTTGTACTAGTTTACATTCCCACCAACAGTGTAAAAGTGTTCCCTTTTCACTGCATCAATGCCAACATCTTTTATTTTTTGATTTTTTTATTATAGCCATTCTTGCAGGAGTGAGGTGGTATTGCATCGTGACTTTGATTTGCGTTTACCTAATAATTAGTGATGTTGAATATTTTTTGATGTCTGTTGGCCATTTGTATATCTTCTTTTGAGAATTGTATATTCCTGTCTTCAGCCTACTTTTTTATGGTATTGTTTTTTTTCTTCTTGGTGATTTGAGTTCTTTGTAGACTCTGATAGGATACTCAGCATTTCAAACAACAAGACTGGATGAAGACAGCATGAGGCCAACTGAATATGCATCCCCCCACTTTTTTGTAGTTTACTTGAAAGGCAAAAATCTTTCATTGTGTCAATGTTACATAAAAATTGTTTTCAAAAGGGAAAACCAAATTTCATGTTTGCATTACTGCATCTTTAATAATAACACTTCATTTTCATAAAATTTCAGAAATCTGTCCAGTTTTAATTCATTTGACCATAAAGTAAGATTTTCATAAAACTTTTAGAACCCTTTACAGTTTTCTGTTAAACAGCAGATCAGTTTTCTAAGAAAACCCTGTTATTCAGACACATGGGCCCAGATTCTGGTCCTGCATCAGTGTGCTTTTATTTAAATGTTCAACCTACAGAAAAAAGAAACTAAATAATCCCCTTCAAATCTTAGCTAGCTTGCTTATACCCACAGAACTTTTTTTTTTTTTTTTTTTTACAAGATCAAACTATCACAAACCCTTTTCAACTTGCTTACACCTTCAGTTTTGTCCCATTACTCTTTCAGGTTAAGACAATCTTTAAAACCCTCTGAATTAGACAAAATTACATCCCCTTTAACAGAAACCATATTCCCATGCCTTCTTATAATCACCCACCAAAACCATATTCTACTTTCCTTCTATACCTTGCAACTTTGTACGTAAAACTCTTTCCCTAGTAGTCTCAACTACATGTTAAAATGGTCACTCTTAGCAACTTTTATTTTGGTGAAAAACCTGATAAATTAGCAATTTTAATTATGTACTAGGTGTGGAGACTAGGACATCAGACAGAAGTGCAGACAAGGTCTGACTCTTTCCAGCATAGCCAGAGAACATGGCTAACTCCACATGTCCCCAGGCCTTATCTAGAACTAATGCTACAAAGTAGGTAAATTAAACAATTTTCAAAAGTCAAAGAAGCAGTTTATGACCTTAAAGCACATAGCAAATCTGATATCTGGCCTTAATTCAGACCAAATGTCTAAATTTTGAAGACGCTTTTGTTTTACCAATAGGCTTTAAAACTGTCTTTATTCCCAAACGATTACTTAAGTCATGTGAACAAACAGGCATTAAAGTTTCTATTTTTCTGCTGATATATGATTTAAGCACTTATCTTTCCAAGACAATTAATCAGAGCTCTTTTATATATAAACACCACACAGACAACACATATAAATACACAGACAGACGGAAGATCCAGTAGTTGTAAGATTTTTCATTTACTTGTTTCTTAGTTGCATTACTGGCTTCAGGGTGGAGCTCTTAGAGGAACAGGGCCAGGAAAGCTTGCAGTTTCTAGGTCCTAATAAGCAGGCACAGCTGGAAGGCAAAAACAGATCCCCCAAATTAAGGGTGTCATTTTATGATGAATCCTTTGTCCCGCAAAAGGAGAGGGATACTATGGGAGAAGATAGTGTAATGCTTCTATGGTGCATTTCATTGCAAGGCATCCCAAAGCCAATCAGCCCATTTTGTAATCAGCCAATCCCCCATGGAGGTCTCACCTCTCAATGGGTGGTGAGGACGTTTCCATGTCTTCTGGGTGGCCAAGAGCATGCTTCTCTAATCCAAGCGTGCAAAAAGCCAAGTATTTCTCCTCAACTGCCATTAGCCATCCCTTAAAATATATTTCCTACCTAGTTGTTAGACACCAAGGCTAAAAGCTCTCCCATAATGCAAAATAATTTCTGATACCCCCCAAAAGTTAAAAAAGTCAGCTAATGCAGTGTGAAACAGAACAAAGCCTTAGATTTTAGAGGGATCTATTTTCTCTCAATTCCTGGGGTTCCATGAGGAAAATGGAGGTTTTTCCTAAAATGGGGTCTGTGGCACCTTCTCTGCTTTTCCCCAGGAGTCCCAGGCTGTTAGAGTTTATCTTAAGTTCTCTCATGTTGACATCAAGAGTGGCAAGAAGACTAAACTGGGAAAAACAATTCAGTCAACTGAAAAGGAAAACCTTTTCTTTCCTTCAGAAAAATAAGATCCAAGAAGAGAAAAAACATAAAGGTCTTTTAAATATATGTACAGCTTGGATATCTTATTTTAATTAAGCTGATTTTAACTACAGAGCTTTTTTTTCTTTACAAAAAATCCTTTTAAATTTCTTATTGCCAGACTCTAGCCAGGATAGCCAATATTTCCGGCTTTTGAATTCTACCACAGAAAACCCTCCACATAAAATTAATAAGTTTTAAATAAGGTTATAACTTAACCATGAAGGCATAAGGTAAAGTGTCTCAAAGAGATAGTAAGTGGTTTCTTTCTTCTTTTTCTTTTCTTTCTTTCTTTCTTCTTTCCTTTTTTTTTTTTTTACAAGAATTAGATTCTCTTCAAAGGTTAGAGAGAGGAAGGAGAAAGGAAAATAAAGACAGGGAATCAGAAGCGGCCCATGAGGGAAAAGAATCAATAAATGGCAAAAATTTACTCAAATAACAAACTAGAAAGTACTCACTCCCTAAGCCAAGAATTGAACCTAGGCTACCATGGTCAAAGACAAAATCTTAGCTACTGAGTTACAGCATTGAGCAGTTTCTATTGCTCTTCTGAGAAGGTGCCTAGAAGCCAATTTAGAGCTTGCAAAGGCTCTTAAATGCTCAAGATAATTTTTAGGGATAACTATGACATGAACCCCCAAATTTCTGTCCTATTGATGGCAGAAACCAAGGCTTCAGCAGGCTTATAGGGATCCTAAATCCACGTCCTATCCTGTGATGCCCCTCTCTCCATTACAGAATGACACAAAAAGACAAATTCTTAGTACAAAGCACACCAGATTTGTTATAGCTTAAGACTAGTCTCACAGATCCTTTCTTCTATTAATCAAATGCTTGCAAAGGAGACAAATAGTGATGTTTACCATTTACACATGAATACACAAACAGAGAGTGTGAGAGACTAGAAACTTGATTGGTAAGAATTTCATACCCTTTTTGCTAGCATACCAGGTTTCCAGGTTCCCTTTCTCTGCAGCTTCCAGAAGAATGGAGCGGCTTTTGAGACATTTCTCACTGCGCCATAGTTGTGGGGGTCAAGCCACTTTACAAAAAAAAAATCACCCTTATCTGTTTTACGGAACCATAGGCAAGAGATTCTCAATTTTGCAAGATGCTCCCAACAGGCTACATGGGGAACCAAATTAACATTTTCCATCCCAGCCAAAGCAAAATACACATGACAAAACAGACATTAATCACCTCATTCAGCAACCAATATTGACCAGGCAAGGCTCAGGCTTTCTCCTATTGGTCCCTGTTGTCTTTGATCCATTCCAAGTAGGGAGGGATGACCTCCAACCGATAATTCAATGGGTGGTCTCTGGGCAACATGAAGAGTGAATAGTCACCCCAAATCAGCCCTGTTGAGCTTTCCTCAGGACTCACCAAATGTGACCAGAAAAATAAGGAGGATTCTCTGAGTTAGGCCTGCTAGACTTCTGTCAGCAATTCCTTCTGACACACACAAAGACAAGATGGACAGAAAGCCTTCCAAATCAAGATCCCTAACCAAGAACTCCCAAGAGTATCCCTTCCAAACCATCTTCCTATTCTCCATCTAAGAAATCTCTCCAAGATCATCCTGATTGGGGAGAAGTCTCCCAAACCAAGACTCTTCCTACTAATTAGGGAGAGCCAATCAAGACCCCCAAAGGAGTTGAACCAAGACAGAGACCCTGCAGTGGGGCTACAGACAGGCACCCCACCATGGGGCTACAGAAAAACCGAGACCCCTGAAGGAGTCAAACCAATTGGGAGCAGGAAGGAGGCATTGGCAGCACCTGGGATACTCACCAAACTAGACACCTCATAATGGGGCTACACCTACAGACACTCCATGACTGGGATACAGACAGACACCCTATTTTATGACTACAGTTACAGACACCTTGCTATGTAGCTATAGACAGATACCCTATGACAGGGCTAGTTATGGGACATCTCCCCAGGACTCTTTCTCTATTGCAATTAAATTCATGCACATTGGGTTGGCAGCACTGCAGTACCAGAGTCAGCCTCCAGTCCAAGAGAACTATGTGGCCGTTTGGGCTGGCCTCTGTATCCATTGCTGGAGGGGAGCTACTGAACCACAGGCAGGTAGCCACAGGGGCAATCCCAGATAAGCCCCCAGATTTGTAATCTTCCAATGGGTTCACCTTGCCCACTGCCCGGACAGAGCCAGTTTATCAAGACAGAGGAATTGCAATAGAGAAATAGTAACTGCAAAAGAGAAAGAGTAATTCTCTATCTCTCATCTGTGAGGAAGACTTGAGTTTTATTATTACTCAAATCAGTCTCCAAACTGGGTAATTTATAAAGAAAAGAGGTTTAATTGGCTCACAGTTCTGCATGGCTGGGGAGGCCTCTGGAAACTTACAATCATAATGGAAGGTGAAGGAGAAGCAAGTTCCTTCATAAGGCAGCAGGAGAATGAGGGCATACCGGGGCAACTGCCACTTTTAAAACCATGAGATCTCATGAGACGTCCCTCACTATCCCTAGAAGAGGATGGGGAAAACCACCCCTATGATCCAATCACCTCCCACCAGCTCCCTCCCTCAACACATGGGAATTACAATTTGAGATGAGATTTGGGTGGGGACACAGAGGCAAATCATATCACTACCTGACCAATTGACTGCTCCACATCTACTATACATCTATTTCTCTTAATCTATGTCACAAATGTTCATGTCTATATTAAATGTCCCAACCCTGTCCAAAAAGGGAGACAAGTGAACTCTTAGCTAATGGTAAAGTCAAGATCTCTGGATGATGTGTAAATCATCTTAGTCAATTCCAATTTTAGATCCTCCTACTTTTCTATGTGTGGATAATTGATACGTGTATCTATTCTCCAAACACTTAATATAAGATTAATAAAAAAGAACATGATTACTGCAATAAAATTGGGACTAGAAGAAAAAGTATATGGATTATTACAGGGTTATATGATATGTAGTGTTCTTCTAGGAAGGAATCACAATGAATCACTGCCCTGGGGGAGGACTGCGTTACTGGGTCAGCTAGTTTGGGCAGCCCCCAGGTCTATTCTTGGACGAATCTTCCTCATCCATGGTCTTCTATTCCTGCATTTGAGGCAATTATTGAACATGGTCTAAGTAGACAGAGATCATAAACCAGAACTTTTCAACCCATTTTGTAACCTTTCTGATACTTCATCAGGTAGCTCACAAGCCCCTTTCCCTCTATTTGACTCCAAGCTCTTTGAGGGGAGAGACTATGTTTTACTTACCATTTGTCTCCAACATAAAGTACTGCGATGGTTATAAAATTAGCACTTAATAAATGCGGTAAGAATCAATTAGTGAATGGGACTGATAAAGTGATTGACTAACAGAACTAGACAGGCTCCTGGGAAATGA